>NC_000010.11:78021883-78173398 GCF_000001405.40 Homo sapiens | reverse complement strand
TCAAATCCCTACTAGTAATGCTCACTGCAGTTTATTTTTCTCTGAGCATTTTAAACATCTTCCCATTTAACCCTCAAAATTATCCTATGATATACAATGTGTTTTTTAGATTGAGCTCTCCCAGGAGGAGTCACTGGGGCAAGGATTCAGGTGTAAGCAATTGATCTGGGATTTGACCCCAGGAAACACCAGTCAGGAGAGGGAAGAAAAGAAAAAGAAGGGAAAGAAGCCAATAAAGTGTGTTTTGGAGCACTCCACTACTGCAGGCCTATGAGGCTTCATCACCCTGGGCCACTCTGGAGATCTGCACAGCACACCTCAGTCACCCCACTGAGGGATGAAGGAGCTGGGGGATGTATCCTCCAACTCCTGCCAGTCATGGGTTGAAGGTTGCTCCCAGTTGGGAGAATGGATTAACTCCCCCCACAATGCCTGGCCTGTGCCATGTACACACATACTCAAAACAACCTGAAAGCCCTTAGACAAATATCCACAGGTGCTTGTGTCAGAAGTCTCCAGGTTGGGTACACAGGAACGGTGATTGCCAAGAGATATGGACAAAGCACCGATAGCATCTTTTACGATACCACTATTCCATTTTAATAGATGAGAAACCTGACGTTCAGAGATGGGACCGAATTTGGCCAAGATCACACAAGTACAAAGTGATGAAACCTAAATTTAGACCAAGCCAGTTTGCCTCCACTTCTTGGTTCATTTCGCTACGCACCACTATCTTCCAGGCCTAGCTTCCCTCTTCTCCCTTCTTTCTCCTTATCCCAGACACAAAGGACAGGGCTGTCTGCTAACAGTGTCTCCTCTCCCTGAACATGCCTCTGAGATGCCTGACTCTTTCCAGCAAGTGTCCTTGAGATAAGGCTTGATGACAGATCTGTCTATTGGTGAAGTCTGAACCAGGTGGAGCACCCTTTCCTCTGCCACGCTTACTGCTGCTTACCAAATCCCCTTTTCTTTGACCCTTTAATTCATTTGATAACTTTGAGATGCACAGACCTGCAGGGCTTCAAAGAACAGTAAATTTCCCATCCCGAACACCACAGCCCTTGCTGCTGGGTTTGTGCTTTGTTTTTGCTTGCACAAGCCAGTGGTGAGCATTTATCGCTGGTTAGAGAATTGAATTTGGCAGGAGAGATTTCTGTGCATTTGGGGGATTAATTTGTCAAGCACCTTCGCCAGCAGAAATGCTAAGGATGGCAGCCAAGAGTAGGGTGGTGCAGGCAGTCTGGCAAACATAGGCCAAACCCTCTTTTGTAGCTGGTTCTCTCTAGCCCTGAGAAGAAATGCAACATCACTCAGCTTTCACACCCCAGGAGCACGGCTTTCCCTTAGGCACACTGTCTTCTCCCCAAATTAGCACTGTCTCATCAGGGGCCAACCCAACAGGGAAGCCGGGGTTGAGAAGGTGGTGGGGTGGCCAGACAGAATGAGGGGACCTGGGAACTAGGCATGTTCCCCTGGGTGGAGCACATACTTGGGGCCTGCCTATCAAGAATAGCAAATTCACAGGTGTGACAGGAAGTGAGAGAATGAGCCAGGAATGAGCATCAGGTGGGGTCGGCTACAGTAAGGAGCAAGAGAGTCCCCAGAGGTCTCAGAAATGCAAATAGGTAGAGATCTGGCAAGCAGACTGGTGGGTATAATAGTCATTGTCATTCAAAGGTGTGCTAGAGACAGCTTATACCACTTCTCTAGAGGCAATTGTTAAATTTTCAAAAAGTTTGCAAGCCAGTTGCTAAACACAGCCATTATTAAAATGTAAATCCTATAAATTTAGAGTTAAATTGTATTAAAATCAAAAGTTAAAGGATACTCAAAATATATCACTATGCTTTACTATGATCTATATTGTTAAGTTTACCTAGGAATCCTGTGTCTGTGTGATGGGAATTCTGTACAATGGTGACTGTCACATATACATCTCTTCCCAACCCCAGGTCCAGCGTTGGAACATTGGTAGCTTGAAATTGACCATATTGGTAGGATTTACACCAAGGAAATTGGCAAACGCTAAAAATTAGGACTGTTTTTGTGAAAGCCAGTGTTTAGTAGAATTTACTGGCACACTACTAGCAATTGCTACCCTGAATCAAGGCACTATCTACCCTGCATCATGCTAAATGTCTCACATTCGTTATATTACAATGTAGGCATCACACACCTGTATGGCACGCCAGTCGTTAAAATATTGAATTACTTTCACTTTGGTTGCTAAACAGCTGCTGTCCCAAGCCCCGGCATGTCCTCCTTCCACCTTAGCCACCCCTGCCCTCCTCTGATACCTCTAAAGGTTTGCGCCTAATCCTGCTGTAAGACTGGAAGACTGGCCAGTGCTCACACAATACAGGCTGTTCATATTTTTACCATAATCTCTACTTACATTTATCCTACAAGGTGGATATTATTATCATCCCCTTTTTACTGATGAGGAAACTGAGGCTCAGAGAGAAACCAACTTGTCTTGAGCCACACAGCTAGCAAAATACAAGACCTGGGATAGAGCCTAAGTTGACCTGGGTCCACCCAGTGTTCCTAACCATTGGGACACACCATTTCTCAGCAGCATGGAGGTCTGGGGTCTGATGGCAGGGCCTGGGCCCATGAGGCCAGGGCAGTTCAAGAGGTCTCACAGCTGGGCCACTAGACACTGTAGGAGCTAAAGGGATGGCTAGGGAGGGCCAGGAATTAGATACTCCTCCCCTTACTTCCCCTGTCTTGCCTCTCCCCTCCTCTTCCTTTCATATCATCTCCTCCCCTCCCCTTCTGTGCCCAATCTGAGTCCTTAAACGGCAAAGTGTAAAACACCATATCTGCCCTCAGGAAGCTTACAGTCTGAGCTAAGGAGAAACTGCCCATACCTATGAACAATATAAATACTAAATATTTGATTACATCACACAAGCCAAGTCACAAAGCAGGTGTCACGGCTGAGAGACAACAAGGAAGCTCTCAGAAACTGAGGGCCAAACACTCTCATCTATTAGGCAATGCAAAGATTTTCCTGTTACTGCAATTCTTAGATATAATGTGCATCATTGTAAGAGTGAATCACTAAGTTAGAAGCTTCCTGGAGGAAAAATACTGCCTCATCAAACATATGCCACAATGGTAAGAGCCATCCTGATTTCAGAAGTGTGCATTGTAAGGCAGAAAAATATATCCTCATGCTCCAAGGTCACTAGGACAATGGATACAGCAGAAAGTCAGTTCCCTCAAATCTCGCCTTGTGATTCATTCATTCACTCATTCAACAAATATTTTTGAGAGCCTGGTGCTGGGGACATGGCAGACAACAGTAAACGGGAGACTGGCTTCCTGCTCTCCCAGAGCTCCCATCTGAGTGGAGCAGACAGCCTTTATGTTAGTAACACAACATATAAATATGCACTTACAAATAGGAATATGTGCAAAGAAAGAACAGAACTGAATGTTGTGAGACAAAGAACAAAGAGGAAGGAAGAGCTTTGAGCAGATATCCAGGGAAGGCCTCTCAGAAGAAGCTCCTGCAAAGGAGGATGGGTGAGGAACAAGCTCCAGGAGACGGAGAGGACGTGCCATGGACCCAAGGGGCAAGGAGTCCAGGGTGTGCTCCATACTGAAGAAAGGCCAGTCCAGTGAGTGCAGCAGAAGCCACATCAGCTCAGCCGTATGGCCATGGCAAGGGGTTTTGGTTTTAATCTGAGTGCAGTTGGGCGAATTTAGGTAAAAGTGACATGCGGGGAAGTGGCATAGGCTGATGCAACTCTTGGAAGAATCCCTCTGGGTGCTGGGTTAAGAATAGGCCCATTGGGAGTGGTGGGAGGAGTAGAAGTAGAGAAACCAGAGACAAGGCTAGTGTGGTGCTCCCAGCAAATGCAAACAGTGATGGCAGTTGGGACTAGGGTCGTGGCCATAGAGAAAAGAGTAGGTTGATTCAAGCTTTGAAGAGAGCCTGGGGCATGTTGTGATTGACTGCACATGGGAGAGAGAGGGGTGCTTCATGGGCATTGCCCTCCAGTAGGCGGAGTTGCTGCTCACTGAAAAGAAGCTTGTGTGGGCAGACCTCCTTCTCGTCCCATCCCAAGGGAGGTGGAAAAACGACCAGGAAGAGAAGACACTTTTAGAAGCCTCAGGAGAGCCTGAGAGAGCAGTTACTGATGCTAACTGAACCCTTCACTTATTTGTCCTCTATGTGGCAAGACCCACAATGCACACTCCAAGGAGTAATATACAAAATTAATGCTGTACAAGCATATAAGATGAAGAAAACACAACTCTTCATCTGGTCCTGGGAGGCTTCGTGGAGGAAGCATTTTCTCTCCTAGATCTAGAAGGACAATAGAATCTAAATAGGTGAGGAGGATGGGAAGGGCATGCCCTGACAGAGGGGACAGTGGGGGAAAAGGTGGGCAGGTACAAAATAAGGGACATTGGCCTTGGAGCCAGTAATCTGTTCCATCTCTCCCTCTTCCCCTGGACAGCCAGCCACCTTCTTGGACTATTTTATCTGATCCAGGTGCTGCTGTTAGAGTCTTATCATCTCTTCCTTTTTTAACAGCATACTTAGGACATATAATTGACATATAATAAATGACACATAATTAAAGTGTACATTTTGGTAAGTTATGACATACAGAAACCCATGAAACCATCACAATTAAGATAATGAACATATCCATCACCCCCAGAAATTTCCTCCCACCACTCACTGCCAGCCCCTTGCCCTCAACCCCGAGGCAAGCACTGATCTGCTCTTTGTCATGATAGACCAGCTTGCATCTTCTAAAATTTATATGAATGAAATATATATCAAACTAAGTATTACTCTTTTTTCTGGCTTCTTTCCTTATGCATAATTATTTTGATATTTGTTTATATTATTGCATATACCATTAGTTCATTCCTTTTTATTTCTGAGCAGTATTCCGATATATGGACACATCACAGTTTGTTTATGTATTTACCTGCTGATGGACTTTCAGGTTGTTTCCAGTTTTTGGCAATTACAGTAAAGCTGCTATGAACATTTGTGTACAAGTCTTTGTATGGACACGTGCTTTCTTTTCTCTTCAGTGCGTAGCTAGCTGTGGACTGGCTGGATCATAACTGTAGGTACACATTAAACTTGATAAGAAATAGTCAAACTGTTTTTCAGTATTTTACTTCCCAGCGGCAGTGTATGAGAGTTTCAGTCCCCATATTCTCACCAACACCTGGCATGGTCAGTCTTTTTCATTTTAGCCACTCGAATAGGATGTATAGTGATATCTCATTGTGATTTCAGTTTGCATTTCCCTAATGACTAATGATGTTGAGCATCTTTTCATGTGCTTATTAACCATTTGAGTATATTCTATAGTAAAATGTGCATTACAATCTTCTGTTTGCTTTTAATTAGGTGGTCTTATTTTTATTGTAAGCTGCTTTTATATTACAGATGCAAGTTCATCAGATACACGATTTTTGTGTATTTTCTCCCAGTTTGTGACTTGCCTTTTAATTCCCTTGACAGTATATGTCAAAGAGCAGAAGTTTTTCATTTGGATGAAGTCCAATATATTATTTTTTTCTTTTATGGATTATGCTCTTGGTGTCATATTTTAAAACTCTGCCTAAACCAAGGTCACAAAGATTTCTCCTGTTTTCTTCTGGAAGTGTTATAGTTTTAGGTTTTACATTTAGATTTGTCATCCATTTTGATCTAATTGTTACATGTAGTGCAAGTTATGGATCAAAGCTTTTTTTTGCATATGAGTATCTAATTTTTTTATCATCATTTGTTTTAAAAAAGACTATCCTTTCTCCACTGAATTGTCTTTGCAACTTTGTCAAAAAATCAGTTGTCCGTATATGCATGGGTCTATTTCTGGACTCCCAGTTCCATTTTGTTGATCTATTTGTCTATCTTGATGCCAATACTACACTGTCTTGATTACTGTAGTTTTATAATAAGCTTTAAAATCAGGCAGTGTTAGTCCTCCAACTTTGTTCTTTTTCAAAATTGTTTTGGCTATTCTAGGTCTTTTTCATTTCCATATGAATTATAGAATCAGCTTGCCAATTTCTACAATTTCCATACTGCTGCATACTCCCTCTTTCTACTTGGATAAGAAAACAAATAAGAGGGAAAATCTGAGCTGGGTTGGATACCATGACTCTAAACAAAGTAGATACTCAGGAAGACTGAATTGAACTGAAGAGGCGAGCTCCGCATCTCCAAGGTGGAACAACAGTGGTTTTGTCCTTCAAACAAATATCATGCAGTCAAAGATGTTGGATCCATCAGCCCTCAGCAAGGCTGTCCCCTTCCTGAGAATTGCCCCTTTTTCCTCCATCAGAACACACTTTCTTCTGCTCTAGTCTTTCCTGGCTGTTGGGTATGGCTCCTGCCCCTGGAGAGCTCTCATAATGTACCTGTTATCTTCTACATCTGGGTAAACACAGACTTCAGAACAGAAAACCCAGTCCTCAGTGGATACTGGGAGGAAAAGATAGAAAGAAAAGGAAGAGTGTGCACTGGGAAATCCAGTGGAATACTAATTGAGGGGCATTGGCTTAGTAGCTTTAAGAATTTGTTTTTATGGGTTTCTAGAAATAACAATAGTGGCTCCCACGTAGAACATGCCAGGCTAAGCTTTGCTTTGCATGAATTTTCTCATTCAGGCCTCGTAAAATCCAGTGGGGGACAAGCATAGTCATGCCCATTTTCCTGATGAGTTGAGGCCTACAGAGATTAAGCAACTTTCCCAAGTCATTGCTAGCAATGGCAGTGCTGGAGCATGAATCCTGGTCTGGTCTGACTCCAAAGTCCACACTCTGGACTAAACCCCAGGGTGATTCTGCCTTCAGGGATGGGAAATGGAAAAGCCCCATAAATGTATGCAGTCAGATTATTAACATGATTTAATGAGCCACTACGATGAGCCAGGATCGTACCCAGGACCATCTGACACCACCATATGTGATTCCACACCCAGGCAAGATGCCTGACTCTCCTCTAGCCAGCTTGAGAAGCTGCCCCCGATGAGAAATGGGAGGCCTAAGGTGATGGATTTGAAAACAGGGAGGAAGACCTGGAAGGACCACTTCCTTTGAGAAGAGGGTCATCTAGCAGAATCTTAACCCCTGGAGGCTTCTCTAACTGCCTTAGGCACAGAAGAAGATCCATTGTTTCAGGTACCAAGTGGCCAAGATGGCATAGCCTTGGGCATGGTTGGATCAGGATGGGAGTCCTTCTCATCAGGTTCTTTCCAGGTGACAAATACATAGCCACCCACACCTTCAGGCCCACATTTCCCCTGCTTAGAAGCCTCCTTACTTGAAGAGAGTTCCAGCAAAAGCCCCAAGTCACATCCTTTTTGTCCCAAGTAGGCTCATTTCACAACCAATCCATGAGATGCTATTGGGCCAGGCTTGAGTTCTACATCCACTCCTCAAGGCAGAGGACAGAAGCCAGCCCAGTCCAACCCCACTGCCTGAGAGCAGGAAAGTGATGAATTCCCAAAGGAAAACGGAAACATCATTGCCAGAAGATGGCAGCGCAGCAGGCAGAACATCAGATGTCCCCTCTGACTTCTCTCTGACCTGGATATCCACGGCAGATCTGCTCAGTTCACAAGGCATCAACCACTAAAACTGTGTTTGTTTTGTTGGCCACTCCCAGTATTGATTTTCACCAACTCTGAGACTTGCCAGCTTCAAATTGCATGATGCTCCTTCTCTGTCTTCTTCCAGCCAATGAATTTCAAGGTCTGGCACCTGCAACCTGCAGAAGGCAGGGGCTTCTTTCTGATTTAACAGGGATCCTATTTCCGATGTACATATTTCTGTCCTCCATACATAAAAACTGTATTTTCTTTCCTAGAATTGTGGCATATAACTTGATCTGAACTTATAGATACCAGTAGGGATGGTGAGAAGAGGTATTGGGGATTAGAAATGTATCCAAGCACCTAGGCTGCATGGTCACTATACCCATTGCCCTCTACCTGGGAAGCATTTGGACATGGCCAGGAAACAATGCTTACATCAGCAAGTTCTTAACCCTCTCACCAAATGTCCTTGCAGAATTGCCCCTTGTTCTAAGCCCTAACAGGGCTAAGGGGTTTCTCCAAAAGCTATCGTTGGCTCCAATTAGCTGGCCAATTTAACAGGACAAATGAAACCGAGTTGACCGCCTGGACATCCATGATGAGTGACCAGGCCCAAAACTCCTGAATCTCCTCGGACCCACCGCTGCCCAGCCTCCAGGGCAAAGAACCCCAAACAGGGTGAAGCAGATGCCTCCCTCCTGGGGAGAAACGAGTGTGTAAGATGTTTCACATGCAGCAGCAGTAGCCACTGCAGCAAAAAAGGCAAGTTCAAAGGTAATTGGACGAGGAGTTTTAAGCACGGCTGTTCCCGTAGCAAACTGTTTCATGAATACCCATCGGGATCTGTCCATATGGACAGCAGAAGGGTTCCTGCTGTTCTTTTGCTAATAAAAACTGTTGTGATTACATTTCCAATACTCTTGGAACGGGGCCTCCGTGGGGCCGCAGCGTGACGTGCTGAGAATGTGTCTTCCAGACTGATGGGCAGCACCGCTCCCTGCCACAGAGGGGTGCAGAGATTCGCGCCCACTGCGTGCAAAGGGAGGGTCCTTAGGGCAGCGTGGGGCTGAAGTATCTGTGTGAGTGTATCTGTGACTGCGTAGTCTTACACACCGTGCACACGCACAGGAAAATCTTAATTCATGGAACAACCTTCTATAAGTGGTTCCAGTTACTGGCATTTTCCGGTTAATTAGAGGTTAACCTGCAATCGCTTATTTCAACCTCCTTGTTGAAGTGCATTAGTTTAATTTCACCCTTACCATCATGCCTGAGCTCTGGATGTTGTGTCTGGTAGGAACAGCCTCTCCTGAAGTCTCTATCAAAATCCTACCCCATCCTCCCTGTCCTGAGTCAACTCAAATGCTGTCTTCCCTGTGAGGCTTTTGCTGACTTCTCACCCTAAGTGGGAAAAATTTCCCTTCTGAACTTTCCTAGTCCTCCGGGGAATCCCCATACAGTGTTTACCACTGTCTTACTGGGTCACAGAGTTCTGGGTTCTTGTATTTTCTCCCTTAGGAAGCTCCTTGGTTCTTCGAGGTCATTATCAGTACTTTGCCCCTGAAGCCCAGGTGCCTGGGACACACTAGGTGCACAATAATTGCTCATTAAATAAATGAATTAATACAACCTAAAGGTTTAGGAGGCTGGGTTTGATAAAAATTCAATACTTTCAAAATACTAAAAATTTTATAGTTTCAAAAATATATTCCTACTTTTCGTTATTGTCTTCATTCTCATAAAGGGATTAAACATTATGAAAAAGTTCAATTAATTGGGTGTGTGTTGATCAAGAATGCATTGTCTGTAAATCCAGACACTTGGTACACACATATCCACAAGACACACCAAAATATGCATACACACCTAAGTATATATGTACACAAAAATATACATGGCATTACTGTTTTTTAAAATCTTCGATATACAAAAATTCTAGTTTGCAAAAAAGAGACAGCCATTATTCATCTTCTTAAAAAGTTCTTGTTTCACTTAAGGACTCATCCCCATTCCCCTTTCAGAGCTGGCTCTCCTGCTACATTTGAGTGTTTGTTTATTGACATTAATTGCTTGACTACAGGGTGAACTTCACTTAAGGATAATCAAACTGATGATGAAGCACCGCTGAGAGAATTGAGCAAAGCCAATGGGCAAATGAAATTCTCTTTATGAAAAAAAACATTCATTTACATACTTGTTAAGACCAAGGTTATAAAGTCTAGCTATGCCACGAAACCAGCCACATGACCTTAAGTTTGTTACTTAACCTCTCTGAGCCTCAGTTTCCCTATGTGTTGAGAGAATCAAGAAGATTGGTAAGGTAACTGATGTTCAGCATAGGAACTGCTCCCCAGAACACAATATAAATGGAACTTGAACAAAAATATTTTCCAGAATCTAGGAAACATTAGTATCCTCCCCATGCCATTACCATCAACTTTTGCAGGTATCTAATGTTCACTTTGCAGTGGAAATCACCCCAAAATCTCTGTGGCTAAATGCAACAAAGGTTTGTTTCTTGCTCCCAGAGCCAGCTTGAGGCTGAGGTAGACTCTGCTCCACATAGTCACTCAGGGATCCTGGCTGGCAGAGACTCTTCCACCTAAAACTCTCAGCCTCTTCTATCACTGCAGCAGGGGAAGAGAAGTTGTAGGATGTCACACCAGCTCTTCCATACTGCATCCCAGAAGTGACTCACCTTGCTTCTACTCACAGAAGCAGAAGCAATCACGCGGTTCTGGGAGAGCAGATGGACTCTCAGTGATGTGATCACCACTGTCTCTGCCACATCCTAGGCCACTCCTACTCCCCTTCTACAGAGTCAGCTAAGTTACTCCCTCATCTACATAAAGTAAAACCAGAATAAACTCCATAAGGTTATCCTCCATAAGAAAACCAGCTGGGCTATTCATGCTCCCATTCACCGGGCCAAGGTTGCCAGTCCTTGCCATAAGGCCAGTGAAGCTCTCTCCTATAGGACAAAGAGTCTGGTTGGATGCCAGCTCAGAACTAAACCAACTCAGCCATTCCTGGGCATTCACTACTCCTAGGCCAACCAGGTCACCCTGCTACAAAGGACTACTCCAGTCAGACCCCCGCTTCAGGTACCTGCTATCCTTGCCAGCTTCCTGCTTCTGTCCACTGGGAGGACCTGTGCCTCCCAGAACACACTGGCCATCCCCTGCCATCACAGCCTCCCAAGGCCCCCTCCTCTCTAATCTCCAGGCCTCTGCCTACAGTTCTGATGGCAAAAAGGGAAGGTGACCAACTTCTCTACCAAGAAAGCAGAGAAATTTCCCCTTCTGCAGGAAAAGAGTGGCTTTAACCATGAGACAGGGAAGATGTGGACTAATGCCCACCCTTGTCTGTGCTCCCAGGTGAGTCATATCGACTCTGAATGGATAAGAGAATGAACGAATAAATGAATGTCACAGGACATTCCTAATGAACATCTATTTGTTTATTTTTTGTGTGATGTCATCTGATGTCACACATCAACTGATCTTTGTTCCTGCTAGAGAATCAGTCAAGATTGCTGAATAAAGATTAAGAATATGGACCGGGCACAGTGGCTCACACCTGTAAACCCAGCACTTGGGGAGGCCGAGGCGGGTGGATCATGAGGTCAGGAGATTGAGACCATCCTGGCCATCATGGTGAAACCCCATCTATACTAAAAATACAAAAATTAGCTGGGCGTGGTGGCGTGTGCCTGTAATCCCAGCTACTCGGGAGGCTGAGACAGGAGAATCGCTTGAACCAGAGAGTGGGAGGTTGCAGTGAGCGAGACCACGCCACTGCACTCTAGCCTGGCGACAGAGCAAGACTCCGTCTCAAAAAAAAAAAAAAGAATAAGAATATGTGTGGCTAATTTTTTAGCATTCATTATGCACTGGGCATAATAAACATGGTCTTCATTTGCATTAGCTCTTCTGATCCTCACACCACAGCCTCATGAAATAGGACTATGATTATTCCCGCATTACAGGTGAGCAAACTGAGGCCTAGAGTTGGTTATGATAATAGCCTAGGTCATCCAGCCAGAAAATGGCAGCACCAGGCTATGAGCTCAAGGATCTGTCCAATCTCAAACCCTATGTGGGATCTGGGAACCATCCAGTTACAGCATTTGGTTGGAATTCAATTCAGTCAGAACTTAAGCACCTGCTACAAGCTCGTGAGGTCTCGACAAGATGACATAGGGAATATGAAGAGGAGCTTGTGAGCCAGTAGCGGAGGTATGACGTGCACATAGGAGCTGTGCTAAACCACACTCCACCCCCATGGCATTCTGCATTGTATCATGAAATGACCCATGAGTTCACATTCATCTGAAAGAATCAGAAAGGGCTTCCCAGAGAAGGTGGCATTTGAGCCAACTACAGAGCCTCAAAAGAGAAGGATTTGTGCAGGCAGGTGGTGGGGCAGGATAGGCCAGGGACTTACAGATTGCACAATTACTACAACAATGACAACTTAACTGAAAGAACCCTGACCTTGGAATCCCACAGCCTAAGTTCATGACCTCGGTCACTCACACAGTGCCTTTAGGCATATCCTTGCATTTCTTGGAGTCTCAGTTTCCTCATCCAGAACACAGGGATAGTGATCATGATGCCACACTCCAGACCCATCGGGAGGATGCAATAGGAGATGGTTGTAAAAGCACTGGGTAAACAGGAAATGCTGAACAAATGTGGATCATCATGGTTGCTATGGCTATACAGAGGGCACTGAAGGGAGCCACACTCCCAGCCGTGAGCATCACGATGAGGCAGAAACCACTGGTGATACAAAGGAGGCAGGTCGTACCCTGCCTGCGCCTTCATCACAGAGAGCTTGAGACAGAGGCTCCGAGGAAGGGTGCCCCATTGCTCCTGGGGACACCCACAGATACAAAACACAGCTTAGGCAAACCTGAGGTGTTCTTTCCGAACACCAGGACTAAATCCCAGTGACATGGGAGGGATAGTGGGATGCAGCTGTGTTTCCTAAATATAGCCTGACTTCAGCTCCCCATGGAGCCTCGGAGCCTGAGCCATCTTCCAGGGCCGGCTCTAAAAATAAAGCTGCAAACAGCCCTTACACTCTGCTCACCTGTTCAGGGCCCACAGGCTGATAGTCTGCACCTGAAGAGTTAGCAGAAGAGGGTGGAAATAAGGCACTGGACCATGGGCTGACTCTGTGATCCCTGGGACATTTCTGAGGACACAGGACTCTCTGGTCCCCTCTAAAAAGTAAAGTTGGTGAATAAATGTAATGTCACTGACTTCAGTAAGGATATTTTTTAAGGACTGCACTTAGCGTCTAGATCTGGCTAAGTGCCAGTAAGACATCTCAGTTCACCTAAAGTATTCATTATTCCCACTTTACAGATGAAGAAACTGAAGCTGCCCAGTGCAGTCACATGACCCAGCTAGGGTCACACTAATAGGAAACAGGATGTCACTGTATCTTTCTAGACCAGACCCCCTGAATCTTACACCACACAGCCTGCCTTCACCCTCTGCTCTCACACCATTCACCACCTCCATCAGTTGAACTTGCCTCCTTCTTTGCCTCCTCATCCCACACCCTAAGCCACCTTAGTCTTCCCCAAACAGGCAAGAAAGTGATGTAGGCTGTAAGGTCCATGAGGGAAGGGATTATGTGCGTTTTGTTATCTACTATGCCCCAAACCTCTAAAAAAAATGCCAGGATAGAGACAGCACTCAGTTAATATTTGTTGCATAAATAACCCCTCTCTCAAATCCTAGATCCAATCTATTATGAATCCTGTAGGCTCTACATTCAACACATATCCAGAACACTTACTAAAATGGCTCAAGTTTAAAAGACTAGGCATAGCAAGTGTTGGTGAGGATGTGGGGATTGATACTTTCATATGCTGCTTATGGGAATGTAAAATAATACAGTCACTCTGGAAACAGTTTGACAGTTTTCTGTCAAATTAAACACTCACCTACCATGTGATCCTGCCAGTCCACAGCTCGCTATTCATACAGGAGAAAAGAAAGCATATGTCCATACAAAGACTTGTACACAAATGTTCATAGCAGTTTTACACATCGTTGCCAAAAACTAGAAACAGCCTGAATGTCCATCCACAGATGAATGGATAAACAAACTGTGGTGCACCCACATATTGGAATTCTACACAGTACTAAAAAGGAATGAACCATTGATGCATTCAACCACATGAATGAATCGCGAAATAATTAGACTAAATGAAAGCAGTGAAAGAAAAAAAAAAGAGTACCTAGTGTATGATTCCATCAGTGCAAAATTCTTAAAAAAAGGAGATATACCTAATGTAAATCACAAGTTAACAGGCGCAGCACACCAACATGGCACATGTATACATATGTAACAAACCTGCACGTTGTGCACATGTACCCTAGAACTTAAAATATAATGAAAAAAAAGGCAAACTCACCTATAGTGATAGAAAGAAGATTACTGGCTGCCTGGGACTCGGAGGAAGGTGAAAAGGAGGGTGCAAGGTACAATGAGAATGAGCAGGAGAGAGGGTCACAAAGGGCACAGGAAACTTTTGGGGGTTATGGAAATGTTCATTATCTTCATTATTGTGATGATTACATGGATCTATACATGCACATGTTAAAAGTTATCAAATTGTACACTTTATGTGCAGCTTATTTGTTATATGTCATTTATACCTCGATAAAGTCATTTAAAAAAATATATTCAGGCTGGGTGCAGTGGCTCGCACCTGTAATCCCAGCACTTTGGGAGGCCTAGGTGGGAAGATCGCTTGAGTTCAGAAGTTCAAGGACAGCCTGGGCAACATAGCAAGACCTTGTCTCTACTAAAAAAAAAAAAAAAAAAAGCCAGGCGTGGTGGCACACACCTGTAGTCCCAGCTACTTGGGAGTCTGTGGTGGGATGATTGCTTGAGCCTGGGAGATCAAGGCTGCAGGGACCTATGACCACACCACTTCACTCTAGCCTGGGCAACAGAGTGAGACCCCCTCTATGTGTGTGGTGGGGGGAGTGTATAGGTGCGTGTGTTGAAAACCAACCATTTCTCACCACCCCCATGGCAAGCTACCCTGGTCCAAGAACTACTACCTCTTGGATGCCTCACTGTGCAGGCCTCAGCCCTGCTGAAATTGCTGCTGCTAGCAGAACATGCCACTCTCTCTGCAGTGGATGCTTACCAGGTCCATCCACTCCCAGATGATAACAATTCACAGCTGCTCCTTCTCCAGAAAATTACACTGAGCTGACAGGAGTTACCTTGCCAGGGAGGTTATACTTCCACCCTAGGGATGGACACCCACAACCCCTGACTGATAGAGGGGTACAAAAGTCTGGCCCCCTTGCTTCAAGAGCAGATGACGTTGCAGTGTGATTCATGCTCCACAGCCCACCACCATGGATCGGGCCAAGCCTGGACTCTGCCTTGCTGAGCTCCTTCCCTTCCCCATCCTAATTTACTTCCTCCTCTCCAGGATTTTTTCTGAAGAGCACTCTCTCAATAAATCATGGGAACCTGAACCCCTTCTCAAGCTCAGAGAACCCAACCCAAGGCAGTTGGTGCCAGAAGTGGGCCTAAGAAGCAGATCCAAGGATGAGATTCCCGGATGGGCCACTCACAGGCCTGGTGGTAGGTGGAGAACTGGGCATTCGGAGCAGGGGGCAGCTGTGTGGCTGCTGAGACTTTCACCTGTGCTGGCGGGGATGGGGCACAGGTGGGAAGTGCACAGACTCATGTGGTACCTCAGGAGTTTGAGAGACAATGGAGAAAGAGTCAGTAGAAGGACCGTCAACGTGGGTAGTTGTTGCTGAATACGGATGCTTTGAAAAGAGAAAATGACAAGCTCAGGACTATCAGGCATCAGTGTAAAGCAACTGTGAGAGGCAGAGAGCTTCTTCAACAGTATTTAAAGGGACCCTCATCTCTTGCAATTGGACAGCAGACCCAGGTGAGGTCTGGAAACAGGACATAATTGTCAGAGTAGCAGAACTTCAGAGAAAGTTGCCTTCTCCACCTCACAATTCTCATACACCAAGTCAAAGTCCTAATGGGAAGAAGTGAGACCCTGAAATCTGGGAGAAAGATATCTATATGGGATACACTTGAACTCTTGAATCCCCAATCCTCCTGGACTCCCTGGGCCTGCAAAAAATGCTCACCCCTCCTTGTTGGAAGAATCCTCCCCTGCCCCCTGCCTTGATTTAAGTTTGTATAGAAGCCTCAATGAGGCAAGCTCCTTAGAGCACAATGCTAGCCCTCTTCACGAGGTATCCCTGCCTCCCTTCCTGACCACCACAGCCATAACCACGACCAAATCACAGCCTGGTTTCACAGGGCAAGTGCTTGACCTACTAAGGGAAGAGAGGGATTTATCCAGCAAAGGAACTGTAAGACCTGCCTAATAGGAAACAGCAGAAACCAGGAGAGTGTATATGAAAGTGGATGCTGAAGGTGTTGAGTCAAGAGGAGAAACTGAATATAAAGCTGGATAAGAAAAATTTTGTTGATATAGGGGCATACCTCATATCACAGGATTTAACACCCTGGCAATGACTCCAGGAGATGATTCTAATATGTTGCTGGGATGGCTTCCGGAAGCTGCTACACAGACTGTGAGAGGAGTCCAAAGACTCTTATATTGCTACTATATAATGCCATATAGCCCTCAAAATCTCAAATATTTACTTTCTGGCTTTTTACAGAAAAAGTTTGCTGACCCCTGATATATAGTGTTGGTTAATAACAACATGATGTTCCCATGATTCAACAAGAGTATCGCTTAATCTATAGAATCAAAAGAGATGAAGATTCAATGCAGTCCCTATCATAGTCCCAATGGCCTTTTTTGCAGAAATAGAAAAGCCAATCTTCTAATTCTTGTGGAATTACAAGGAGTTTAAAGTAGTCAAAACAATCTTGAAAAAGAAGAACATATATTCAAAACATCCTAGTCACATGACTATAAATTCAAAGTGGAATCACCAAGCAGTTTGCACTACATTTCTAATATGAGTGTAGGTGGGTATCAAAACAAGACAAATGTTGTTCAGGGAAAAAACCTAGCAAGCTTAAGGTTAAACAAAAATAAAATTGCTTTACAAGTTAAAAAAAAAAAAGAAAAGAAAAAGAAGAACAAAGATGGAGGACTCAAACTTCCCAATTTCAAAACTTACTGCAAAGTTACAGTAATTGAAACAATGTGGTACTATCATAAAGATAGACAGATAGACCAATGGAATAGAATTGAGAGTCCAAAAGTAAACCCATACATTGATACCCCATTGATTTTCAAAAGGGGTGCCAAGACCATTCAATGAGGAAAGGATAGTCCCTTCAACAAAGGACGCTAGAACAACTAGATATCCACATGCAAAAGAATAAAGTTGGACCCCTACCTCACACGATATATAAAAATTAGCTCAAATGAATTAACAGCTTAAATATAAGGGATAAAATTATAAAATTCTTAAAAGAAGACTTAGGGTAAATCTTTATAACCTTGAATCAGTAATAGATTCTTAGATATGACACCAAAGACAAGAGCAACAAAAGCTTTATCAAAGTTAAAATTGTTTTTGCAGCCAAGGACATTATCAACAAAGTGAAAAGATGACCCACACAATGGGAAAAATATTTGCATATATCATATATCTGATAAGAGTCCAGTATCCAAAATATACATAAAGAACTCTTAGAAGTCAATAGCAGAAAAGACAACCCAATTAAAAAATGGGCAAAGTGCTTGAATCAACATTTTTCCAAAGAAAATACACAAATGGCCAACAAACACATGAAAAAGATGCTCAACATCATTAGTCATTTGGGATATGCAAATCAAAACCACAGTGAGGTACCACTTCACACCCACTAGGAGGACTATAATCAAAAAAAACAAAAAACAAGTGTTGGCAAGGATGTGGAGAAGTTGCAACTTCCGTACATTGTTGGTGAGAATGCAAAATGGTTCGACCACTGTAGAAAATAGTTTGGCAATTTCTGAAAAAGTTAAACATAGAATTGCCATATGACCCTACAATTCCACTCCTAGATATATACCCAAAATAATTGAAAACAGGTACCAAACAAGTATAGGTACATGTATGTTCATAATAGCACTACTCACAGTAGCCAAAGGTGAAAACAGACCAAATGTTTGATATATGAATGAATAGATAAGCTGTGGTGTATAGATATAGATGTATAAATATCAAGATATATACACACACAATGAAATATTATTTAGCTATAAAAAGGAATAAAGTACTGATACATGCTACAACATGGATAAAACCTTGAAACATTATGCTAAGTGAAAGAAGCCAGATATAAAAGGTCATATCTTTTATTATTCCATTTATATAAAATATCTACAATAGACAAATCCAGAGAGATAAAATGCAGATTGGCAGTTGCTAGGGGCTGAAGTGGGGAGAAAAACTGCTTAATGTTTGAGGGGTTTTACTTTGGAGTGATGGAAGTGTTTTGGAATTAGTGATGATAGGCGTACAACATTGTGAATGCACGAAATGCCACTGAGTTGTTCACATTAAAATGCTTAATTTCATGTTGCTTGAATTTTGCCTCAATAAATTATTAAAGGAGAGATGAAGAATGGATGAGCAAGAGGCTGGGATTAGAACACTAGCCAATTATGGCCCTTGCAGGGCCCAGAGGACACACCATCTTCCCAGTGGATGAGGAGTGCACTGGTGAGGGGACAATGGCACTGCAAATAGACTCAGTACTGCCTGTCCTCAGTAGGCTTGGACAGAGTTGGAGATGTTGCTACAGAACTGGGATCCCTAGTAGCAATGGGGGTGCTAAACTTATGATGTAGCAGATACATGGTGGTGGCACTTGACTTTCAAAAGCAAAGTCAGTGGATTTACCATGCGTGCTTCTAAGTCAGAATGGCAGCCAAGAAAGTAGGGCCCTGACCTGCAGACATCTATGGCAGGTATCAGCAAACCACAGCCCTGCAGGCCTAATTCTGCTCACAATCTGTTTTTATAAATAAATTTTTATTGAACACAGTCACGCCCATTTGTTGCATATTATCTACGGCCGCTTTTGTGCTACAATGACAGAGTTGAGTCATTGCAAAAGTGATTCTATGTCCTGCAAACCCTAAAATATTTACCATCTGGCCCTTTACAGAAGTTGCTTGCTGACCTCTAATTGATTAAAATGGCTAATAAAACATGACATTCTCAGGATTCAACCAGGGTATCATTTAATATATAGAATCAAAAGAGTTCAAGAGTGGATGAGCAGGAGACTGAGATTAGAAACCCCATTGGAAAGTCATGGTCCCATGTCCAGTTTCCAGATCTAAACCACCTCTCACATCCTGAACCCATCAACTGAAAAGGAGGATGGGTCCCCATAAGAAAGACCCCTGCGATGCCACAGTAAATATGTACAGTAGTTATTTCCCAACTGGATTTATGGCCATTAACTGAAGAGAAAGGGTAATTACAATGGGGAAATGGAAAATCCAGACCTTCTGAGGGATGTCAGATACAGGATCTAAGCTGGTACTGAGACACTGAGACCCAAAACCCCATCATGGTTCCTCCATGGTAGTAGAAGCATATGGGGTCAGGTAAAAAATGGAGTCCTGGGCCAGGAACTGCAAGGTCATTTCCAATTCCAGAATATATGATTGCAACATATATACTTACTAGTTGGCAGAACATCACCATCGTTTCTTGGCCAGTAGATTAAGAGCTCCTGTACTACAAAAGGTTAAGTGGAAGCCTCTGAAGCTGCCCCTATCCCTGGGCCAAGAGGGTAAACCAAAAACATAATCACTTCCTAGGGGAATGGCAGAGATTAGTGTCACTTCAAAGACAAAAAATGCAGAGGAAGCCGAGCATGGTGGCTCACACCTGTAATCCCAACATTTTGGGAGGCAGAGGTGGGCGGATCACCTGAGGTCAGGAGTTCAAGACCAGTGGGACCAACATGGTGAAACCCCATCTCTACTAAAAATACAAAAATTAGCCAGTGGTGCACGCCTGTAATCCCAGCTACTCAGGAGGCTGAGGCAGGAGAATCATTTGAACCCAGGAGGCAGAGGTTGCAGTGAGCCAAGATCACACCACCGCACTCCAGCCTGGGCAACAGAGCAAGACCCTGTCTCAAAAACAAAAAAAAATGCAGAGGAGATGGTCTGGATCATATGTCCCATTTAATACACTAGCCTGGCCCCTGTCATGGCAGATGACAGTGAACTATGACAGACTTAACCAGTTAGTAACCCATGTGCAGCTTCTGAGCCGGATGTGGGAATTATCCAGAGCAACTTATAGTTGCAGGTAAGTGGTATGCAGCTATTGATCTGGCAAATGCTTTCTTTTCCGTGTCCAGCAGAAAGAAGTAACTAAAACAGTTCACATTCATACCCATGAGATGAACAGCAGTATTCACTCAGTGCTGCCCTGGGGGTCTGTTAATTCTCCTTGATTCTGTCAGACTATATCCAGAGGGGCTTGGGCCATCTGGGCATTCCACAGAGCATCACAAAGGTCACGCTGATGGCACCCCTGATGACATCACGTAAGTCAGGCCTTTCTGAGTAAGGAGTAACAAGTGAGATACAAGTATTCACAAAAGCAGGTGGTCAACCCTACAAAGAGCCAGAAACCTGCCAAAGTTATTGTTTTTAGAGGTCTCAAGGTCTTGGGGATGCTGAGAATCCCCCCGCCAAAATAAAAAACAAGTTAGTGTGCTCTGTACCTTCTACCACTAAGAAAGAAGCAAATACATTGGAGGTAGCGTATTTCACACTTAGGAATATTGCTCCAACCCATTTGCCCAGTGATTCAAGAGGCTGCTAGTTTTGAGTGAGGTCCAGTGTAAAAAAGTACCAGGCAACAGATTCAGTTGCCTGGTACTGCAATTGCTGTGATACAAGCAGCACTTCTACTTAGGCCATGTATTAGTCCGATCTCACACTGCTTTAAAGAACTGCCTGAGACTGGGTAATTTATAAAGAAAAGATATTTAATTGACTCAGAGTTCTGCATGGCTGGGGAAGCCTCAGGAAACTTACAATCATGGTGGAAAGGGAAGCAGGCACGTCTTACAGGGAAGCAGGTGAGAGAGTGAAGGAGGAACTTCCAAACACTTATAAAACCATCATGTTGTGAGACCTCACCCACTATCATGAGAACAGCATGGGGGAAACTGCCCCCATGATCCAATCACCTCCTTCCGTCGATGCTTTGGGATTACAGGTCTCTCCCTTGACACATGGGGATTACAATTTAAAATGAGATTTGGGTGGGGACACAGAGCCAAATTCTATCAGGCCATATGATCCAGTAGACCCCATAGTATCAGAGGTATTTGTGGTAGAAAAAAAAAACATCTTGTAGAATCTCTGCAAGTCCTAACAGCAGAGTCATAAGCGGACCTAAAGGGTTCTAGAACAAAACCATGCCATCTGCAGCAGAGATGTATACACAGTTCCAAAAACAGCTTCTAGCATGCTACTGGAAAAGACTCTGGTAGAGACAAGAGTATTTGATCGTGGAACACCAGGTAACCATGAGACCAGAACTGCCCCTCATGAGCTGGGTACTGTCAGCCCCACTGCCAAGTCAAAAAGCCAACAACCCATCGAACATGGAAGTGGAAGATCCGGGATCAAGTTCAGACAAATGCAGAGGGAAGAAGTAATTGAACAAACAGGTGGACCATACTCCATGTCACCAAACACATTTGTGTCAATGTCTTCCTCAGCTCACATATGGTATTATGGAGGTTCCCCATGGCCAGCCAACAGAGAAAGGAAAAGTTCAAGTTTTGATCCTAGATGTTGGCACAAGCTGAAAATGGAAATTGCTGCACTCCAGCCCCATTCAGGAGGGCTCTGAAAGGCAGACAATGCACCTAGTCACCTGAAAGACAGCAGGGAGGGGAAATTCTTGAAATGGGAAAAGCTTCAGACAATGTGCCTGGTCACCTGGTCATCCACTTTGTGCAGAGAGAAAAGTGGCCTGAGGTAGGAATATACATAGACTGGTGGAAAGTGGCAAATGGTATAGCCTGTAAGTCAAGAGTCTGAAATGAACAAGGCTCGAGATCAAGAACAAGGAAGTCTTAGGTAGAGGTGTATGAATGGGCTGTGGGAACGGACACATATATCTTTGTATTGTATGTTAACACACACCAGAGAGTATCCACTGTGAAAGACTAGACAAGATGACTTAGCCAGGCAATATTAGCCAGCCTCAGTTCTTGGCCACTGTTGTCTTACACAATGAGCCCATAAACAAAATAATCATGATAGCAGAGATTGAGTTATGCATGAACTCAACAGCATAGACTTCTCAACAAGATTGGTCTAGCTACTACCACTGCTCCTTGGGTTAACAAATCAGTAGGCGCAGGAAGGGTTGCCATAGTGTCAGGGGTTGTTGGCCCTGAACATCAAAAGGAAGTGTGGCTTGCTGCCACATGAGACCATGGAGAAGTGTGTTTGGAATTCAAGTGATCCACATCCACTGGGTTGTCCCTTGGTACTCCTGTGCCCAGTGTTATCTATACATAACCAACCATAATCTAGTAACCAGGTGCACAGGCCTTTAGAGGTGATTGACTGGGTCACCCCACTAGGCAAGCCACCCAGCCCAGCAGAAGTGCTAGCCAAGCATATGAAAAATCTAAAGCAAGTAGTAGAAAAAGATATTGATGATCAATATTGGCCTTGAGAGCAACTTCAGCAACAGAAACTATAGTTCACCCCACTAATCCTCTTCTTGTAGGTTTCCTCAGAAACGTAACCACAGAATTCTAGAGAAGCTGAGACCAGGTGGAGTGAACTGAATGTGAGAATCAAAAGAACCTGAGAGGTGCACGTGGCGGATTGTGCTATATGTTGTTGGTGCCTTGCAGAGATCCTCTTTTACAAGCAAGGCACCCATCTTCCAACTGCTGTGAGTGTTGGTTACTAATAGCTCGCAGCTGCCCCCTTTCTCCAGCAGCTCTTCCTTAGTTGATGGGAGATGTTGCTTTGCTCAGAGGTTATACAACTCTTCCCAGAGAATACAGTCCACAGGCAGTGCCTGATTGACATTGGAGTATAAAATGTCACTCCTTTTCCCAATGGATAAGAGAGGGCTGCAGTCTAAGTTACAATTCAGGGCTCCATTATCCTCATGGATCAGACTTAGGCAAGACTTCACATTGACTTTTCCTCCTTCACTATCCTGTTTTACTCCTTTCATTAAAGGCTTTTCCTAGTAGCACTCCCTCTATGATTCACATGCATCCAAATACCTGCCTCAGGCTCTGCTCTAGGAAGCAGGACCAAGATTTCTTTTGGCTGTGTCTTATGCATCATTGAAGCCTCACCACCTAGTATCATGATGCCTAGCACAAAATAAATCAATGCATGTCTGCATGCATGAATAAATCAATGAAATAATGAAAGAAACTGGGGAAACTCAGATGTCAAAGATTTGCCCGAGGTCATCCACATCATAAGTAGCCAAGCCTTAAACATGCACCTTTTGGAGACAGCCCCTGGTATAGTAATGCCTACATGAATGAATGAATTGCAGAAGGAATTTGTGCTTAAATAAAGGTTGTCCTCTAGAAAGACTCATTCTAGGCCCCTATGATTGACCAACTAATACAAATGACTCAAAGTCTTGAAAGCTTTAAAAGGAGTATGGAAACCAATATTTTTCAACCCCTTCTATGTGCCAGGAAAATAACTTTATTTCAACTTAATAGTAACTATTTTGGGTAGATTTTCTTAACATCCCCATTTTCAGATGTCCAAGGGATGTCCAGGAAAGCAGGGATTTCAAACTCAGATGTCTGTAAGAATCAGGTTGGTATGAGGTGAGTAAAGAGGCCCAGTTAGAAGGCATCTGAGAATGGTGGGGACAATGACAAACCAGAGACTGCATTGAAATGGAGCAGCCTCTGCTCAGCTCTAGATGCATGATGTGCAAATCACTCCTTCTGATTATTCAAAGGAACTGGAAATCATGATTTTTATGTGCAGTCTGCTAATTTGTAACTGTTAGTAACTAATTTGAGAAATTACAAAACACTGTGAGAGCCATATCTGACCTGTGGACCACTGGATTTCAACTTCAGTAGTCAAGGATCTAAGCATTAAGAGACATTAGAATAAAAGGCTTAAGGTTTCTTAACATCCAATATTCTGCCCTTCTGTGTCTCCAAAGCACCTTCACTGCTGTGACCCCAGATCTGTACAGAGAGGCTTTCTCCTCTCCTTTCCCAGGTAGGACCCCCCCTTCCCCATAATTTTTGCCCGCAAGCCTAGAGACATCCTAGTGCTTCCAGGATCTAGTTTCGATTCCTCTAGGGGAGGGAGGAGTAAGCATTTCAGGCCAGAGAAAAGAGATGTCTAACCCCTGACATCATCATCATTCCTCGTGCCTTTTGAGGAATTTCCACATGCCCTGACCTTTTCTGTCCCTCAGCTTGGCCAAGTGGTGTTACGACCTTCCTGACAGGTGCAGAAGCTGAGGCTCAGGTAAGTTTGATGGCTTATCTAAGGTAACACTACAATGTTGCTGAGACTAGACCTGAGTTTCCTTAGGTTTCATCTAGCACTTTTGTCACAAAGCCACACCATCCATGACAACAGCTTCCCCAGAACAGAGCTGGAGCAGCCACACTCAGCTTTCAGCCCAGGGAAGTCCAGCTGTCATCACACACCACATGCACCCCAGAGCCAAAGATGGCTCTAAGGGCCCTACTGCCCTCATGTTAGGTCCTTTGGGAACACCCCACATACACACACACACACACACACACACACACCCCACATACACACACACACACACAAATGGAGCACTAGATTGCTGACTTTTATCATGGCCCTGCTATCTGTCCCCAGTCTCCAGCTGGTACTGAGAGGTTCATCTGCTTACTGAAACCCTGGGCATTGAAATGGCCAAGGAGGACTTTGTAACCACTGACTGCTGCTGTTGCTAAGAAACAGGTCCTTTAAATTCAATTTACAAAAAAAAATAGAGTGAGCGAGCAAGTGAGCGAGAGCAAGGAAGAGATGCTTGAACATCTGGTTATCTTTCCAGCTGTCTCCGGTGACTATGGAAATGAGATAAGGACATTCCAAGATGGATGCTGCCCCTCTTCAAGCCAACTTTCCTCTAGGCTAATATTTTAGATCAACACTGGGTTTGCTGGGGTGGGGGTGTAGGAGTCTCCTTTCAGGAAACTCAGTAGGTTGAACAAATTCCGGTCACATTCCCCCTCCAGGGCAGATGCAGTCTCCCCGCAAAAGTCAGCTCCCTGGTCCTTCTGTTTGGTGCCCCCACTACTTCCACTGCCAGAATAAATCATTCCGCATATTTGTATAATCCTCTTCAGCTTACTCAGGATATTCACACATGTTACGTTAGCTCTTATGGAGTCAATATTATTTTCTGCAGATCACAGATGGGGGGGGGAGGAGTATGGTGGTTGGAAAACACATTTATCAGGAGTGGATGGGACATGAGTCCTAATTCCTGCTCTGCCAAGAATGGGCTCAGCTACTCCCTTCCCTCTTTGGGCCTCAGATAACTCAGCTATAAACTGCAAGGTAGGGTTAGACTATGATTTCCCACAGTGTGGACCATAGAATAATGCTCCCTGGGAGGTTACAAGGTGCTTGGTGAAAAAAAATTCTCTGGTCATGCAAGTTGGGAAACACTGTGTTAAAGTCAAATAGGTCTTCTCATGTCATGAACTGAATGTTTGTGTCTCCTCCCTAAAATTACACATGTTGAAACTCTGGTTCCTAATGTAATGGTATCTGGAGATGAGGCCTTAGGAAGGTAATTAGGTCACTAACACCTTCATGATGGCATTAGTGCCCTCATAACAAGAGACAGGAGAGACGCTGCTTTTACTCTTTCTCTGCTCTCTGCCATGTGAGGACACAACAAGAAGACAGTTGTCTGCAAACTGGGAAGAGAGACAGTTACCAGAACCTGCCTGACCATGCTGGCATCCTGATCTTGGACTCCCCAGCCTCCAGAACTGTGAGAAATAAATGTCTGTTGTTTAAGCCACCCAGTCTATGGTATTCTGTCACAGCAGCCTGAACTGTTGAGATACCCTTACTATAAGATTACCCAAAGCCTTTAATGCTTTAATGTGTTGTAGGAATCTCCAAGAGTAATTATCTTGGCTTGGGTTCCCCCCAAAACAGGCTATAATGCAAGGAATTGAGTGCAAGCAGTTTGTTTGGAAAGTGATCTCAGGAAACTTTAGTAGGAAAATGAAGAAGAGACAGGAAAGAGAAAGCAGCCATAAAGCATAAATACCAAGCAAGTTATCTCTGTGAACAACTGGAACTTAATCCCACCAGGGATCTCTGGGCAATGGTGGGGAGCATGTGCCTCAGAGTTAGTCCACACTAGGAGGGTGGGAGCTGGGGTAGTTATACACCATTGCCAGCCCATCATTGCTTGAGGGCTGTTCTGTCAGGAGTTGAGAGGGGTGTCATTAATTGTCTAGCACTTCCCCTTGTTTCTGAAGCATAAGCAGAAATCCCTCAGGCAGAGATGCAGATACTGGCAGTTGAAAATCTAGCCCAGTCCACTAGCATGGTAGGGAGGGAGATATAGGCAAGACCCTTCCTATAGCAGCTGCTATAGGAAGATGGAGTTGCAGTTTCCAAGGATTATTTGATCAGAAACACTTTAGAGGAAAAGCTCCCAGAACTCATGTTCCACGAAAGAGTCCATGGAAAGCTCAAGCTAGGAGCTCTCCAAGGGCTAGACAACACTAGAAGTCTGAGGCAATAACCTTATAATGACCAAAGAGTCACTTCTGCTCACCATCTCCTGAAAGCTGGGGAGACGGATCCCGACAGACATAGGACAAGTTTGCCTCTAGCCTGCTCCAGTTCATCCAGAACATTCTACCCCAGTTCTGAGACCCTGGTCCCTGATCCCAGTCTGAATCATTCTAGCCTGACCTCATACCTATATCGTAAATTCCTGCTAGGGCAGGCTTATGGTATTCCTGCTCCCAGGGTTCACTATGCCTCCTAGGATTCTTGGGTTGACCAAACACTGGGAAATGATTTTCCACTCACTTCTCTCCTTCCAGCAGTCAGTAGGACCTGCAGCCTTATTTTTGAAAACTAACTAATCATACTAATATTAAGAGAAGTGGTAGCAGGGTGGTTAATAGTATAGATGCCTGGGATCAAATTATACCTCCACCTTTCACTACCTGTGAGGCCTTCAGCAAGTTACTTAACCTCTCTGTGCCCTGGGCTTCTATAAAATTAGAGATGAGGATAATACTTTCCTTATAGAGTTATTATTAAAATGCATTACTTATTATTCAAATGTAAAGCACAGTGCTTGGGACAGTAAGTTCTCCATAATGACGTCATAACCCTATGACAGCAGTTAATGTTTAGTGAGGTCTGATTGCATTTCAGGCACTGTGCTGTGCATTTATATGCTTAGATCATTTAATCCCAGCTACCTACCTACCTACGTACCTACCTATGCTATTGTTCTAATTTTATTGATGTGAACCTGATATTCAGAGTAGCCTGTTCATGGGCCCAATGTCACTATGTGGGTAAGCAACCTGAAAAAAAATCCTTTAAGTCGCCAGAAATGGTTGTCTGATGGTGGAATCTCAGGCATCATGAAATAAGGTTTGGTGTTGCTCAGAGGCTACCTGAGGTTGCCTTCCAGCTGATCTCACCATGGCTGGTCTTTTTTTTCCCCTCATCCCAGAAATCATGGTTCTTCATGGGCCCCAAGATAAATACCTGATCCCATTTGGAAGTAGAAGCTTTCCACCTCTATCCTCTCTTCCTTTCAAAGCCTGACCTGTGACATAAGGCCCTCTTCTTCCATGAAGCCATCTATGATTCTTTCCACACCCAACTGTAAAGAAGTCTCCCTTCCCCCAACCCCCACTAGAGTACTACCCTTGTGGGACACTCCTTCGGCATGTTGACCTTCTGACACCTTCATGTGGCTCTCTTCTCACGTTTGATCTCATGAGCAGGTAAGTTTGCTGCATAAGGCAGAGGCATTGCCTTAAACCCCAGGCTACAGTGCCAAACCCAGCTGCCATCTGTCACCGGTGGTCGATAGAGTCAAGCATCCTAACACTGAGAGGGACCTGAAAACCATCAGGCACCTCCCCACACACTCTCTCCCTGAGTTTTATAGAAATAAAACCCAAGGTCCAGAGAGGTTCCAACCTGCCCAAGTCACCCTGAAGGCAATGAAGGAACCAGACTCAAACCTAGGATTCCTGACTCCCAGGCCAGCGCCCTCACTCTCAGGACCCAGAGGACTGTCTCCAGCATGATTTATGATATTAAATCAATAGATAATATTTCTAGCTCGAACACACCCCCCTTCCCATCACCACCACCCCTCAGGACCCTGAGTCCCCTTGCATCAACCTGGCCCACTTGCTTCTCCTCTCCTTCTTGTGACTTCTCTGTAATTCCAGCTCAGTGTCTGCAGGTTTATGTCCTGAATGTCAGCCATTAGTCTCCATTCTCCACACTTGCAAATGAGAGGGTTAAGATTAATGAAGCATCTTCTCTCAATCAAGAAGTCATTTCAGGCTGTGCTTTTAAGCCCAATGAGTTGTGCAGATAAATTAATACCATTTGATTTTTTTATTTTCCACTGAAAGATTTGTGGGGCTCCTCCCTACCCCCATTCTCATCTGAGGAGCGAGCTTGCTTCCAGCCACTTCCAGTTCATCAGCCACAGAGGGTGGGACCCAGGGGAAGACATCATTTCTCAGCACTGCAGTCATGCCCTGGGTAGTTACTCATAGGAGCAATTGGGTAAGGGAGAAGTAGGTGATGTAACTTCTGGGGTCTTCCCAAACTCAACACATCCATGCCTAACAGGACACAAGAGACCCTTCTCCCTAAACTAGCAGACAGAGCCTGGGTAGGCAGCGGCAGTATTAATCACGTGGGCCCAAACCAGCAGTAATTGCAGAGTAATAAGCCCTTGGTGTGTGGTGGGAGGCACAGAACTGAGCTTTGAGCTAAGCCAGGGCAATATTCAAACTAGCTGATAACAAAGTACAGCACAAGCACCAACCGATCAGGGCAGATGCCCACCCTAAACCTCATAAGACCATAGGGCAAATCCAGGAACTATCAGCTGGAGGTGGCATGTGTTCTTCCCAAGAGATGAGAAGGACTGGGGTATTGCGAGAGAGAGAATGAGCAAGGAGAGAAGACTGGAACATGGTGGAAGTTTAGAACCCAAGTCATAGAAAGAGTTGAGGTACATTTTAAGAAAAGAAAGAAATGTCTAATCTTAAATTCAAGTTGTGTGTGTTTTTGCAATATAAATCACTTCTTCTTCACACCCCTTCAGTAAAGGCATCTATGCACACACATGCCTTGATAAAACGGGGTGTGTGTGTGTGTGTGTGTGTGTGTGTGTGTGTGTGTGAAAGGGAGGAGTAATAAGGGAAAGAGCTAGTCTACATCAGGTTCCCCATATTTGTGGACAAAATACTACATGACAGTACCCTAAGTCATCACTAACCTGAACTAATTCAGCAGAAGATTAGAGCCAGATAACCATGAGCCACCCAGAAATTTTTTTAAACTCTTTGTGTCACATTTGCTTTTACAAATCCATTCAAGATTCAAGGAAGCTTGGGCTCAAGGAAATCTTCTCCAGATCTTAACAGGTAGAGTGATCCAAGGTGACACGTAGGTTACATATGCAAGACTGAAGCCACTCTCTCCACCACAAGCATCCACTCCTTCCCCCAACATGTAGCTGAATGCCATCCCCAGCCAGCAGGGCCAGCATCTGGCATCATCTTTGACCTTGTGTTCTTACTGATGGTGGCCAACACTGTCAGATGCCCTTCCAGCATCCATTCCCCACTGTTAGATCCATTCCCCACCTCTTCCCAGCTACCACAGGCCTGATTTGCCTTAGGGTGGCACTGTGCCCAGCCCAAGGAAATGGATTGCAACTGGTCTGAACCAATCGCAACAATCCCATTGCTCACATTCCCTGCCTTCCTTGCAGTTAGGAAAGGCCACATGACCCAGGTCTGGCCGAAAAGGCCGAAGTAAAAGTCTGCCAAAGATAAGCCTGAGCATTTAGTTGGCTCTTTGATACAAGGAACTGATGGGCTGGCACTCCCTTCCTCTTCTTCCTGCCTGGGATATAGAGGAGATGTTTGGAACCCTAGTAGCTATCTTGTGAAGTCAATGACATGGTTGAAAGGACATCAGAAACATAGACTCTGACAGTACTCAGCCACTGAACTGCTGCCTACAGCCACCTGTTCTCAGATGTTTGTCACATGAGAAAATGAGCCCTATGTCTGTAAGCCCCCATCAGTCAAGGCTTCTGTGTCTTACACCTGAACACATCCTAAGAGATGCACTCCTCTTTCCACACATCCAAATGGTCAACAAATTCCATCAGCCCAACCTCTCTTTGAGTCCCTTTGAGTCCCTGCTCTCCACCTCTGCTCAGTCCAATCATCCACACTGACTCAGAGAAGTCTTTTTAAAATGCAGATATATGTAAAGTGCTGCGGTGGCCCCCAACGATTTATGAGAGGATTAAATTTAAGCTTCTCAATAGGGCATTCAGGGTTCTTCATGACATTAACCCACCTGTCTGCAAGCCTCATCTCCCATTATGCCCACACACTCACCCACTGTATTAGTCCATCCTCACACTGCTATAAAGAACAGTCCAAGATTTGGCAATTTATAAAGGAAAGAGCTTTAATTGACTCACAGTTCTGCATGGCTGGGGAAGCCTCAGGAAACTTACAATCATGGCGGAACAGGAAGCAAACACATCCTTCTTCACATGATGGCAGGAAAGAGAAGTGCTAAGCAAAGAGGGAAAAGCCCCTTATAAAACCATCAGATCTCATGAGAACTCACTCATTATCACAAGAACAGCAGCATGGTGGTAACTGTCCCATGATTCAATTACCTCCAACTGGGTCCTTCCCATGACACGTGGGGATTATGGGAAGTACAATTCAAGATGAGATTTGGGTGGGTACACAGCCAAACCATACCATTCCACCTCTGGCGCCTCCCAAATCTCATGTCCTCACATTTCAAAACACAATCATGCCTTGCCAACAGTCCCCCAAAGTCTTAACTCATTCCAGCATTAACCCAAAAGTCCAGGAACAAAGTCTCATCTGAGACAAGGCAAGTCCCTTCTGCCTATGAGCCTGTAAAACCAAAAGCAAGTTGGTTACGTCCTAGATACAATGGCAGTATGGGCATTGGGTAAATACACTTGTTCCAAATGGGAGAAATTGGCCAAACAAAGGGGCTTCAGGCCCCATGCAAGTCTGAAATCCAGCAGGGCAGTCAAATCTTAAAGCTCTGAAATCATATCCTTTGATTCTATGTCTCATATCCAGGTCACACCAATGCAAGAGGTGGGCTCCCATGACCTTGGGCAGCTCTGCCCCTGTGGCTTTGCAGGGTATAGCCCCCCTCCCACCTGCCTTCACAAGCTGGCATTGAGTATCTGCAGCTTTTCCAGGCACATGGTGCAAGCTGTCAGTGGATCTGGGGTCTGGAGGACCCTCTTCTCACAGCTCCACTAGGCACTGCCCCGGTGGGGGCTCTGTGTGGCTGTAAGCCCACACTTCATTTCCACACACCCTAGCAGAGGTTCTTCATGAGGGTGCCCCCCTGCAGAAAACTTCTGCCTAGACATCCAGGCATTTCCATACATCCTCTGAAATCTAGGCAGAAGTTCCCAAACCTCAATTCTTGACTTCTGTGCACCCGCAGACACAACACTACATGTCAGCCACCAAGGCTTGGGGCTTGCACCCACCAAATACACACCAGCCACATCAAACCACTCCCCATAACCCAGATACATGAGGTTCTCTCAGGTCCCATGCCTTTGCACATGCCATTCACTCCATCTAAAGCCCCTCCTGCTCTCTTGCTCTTGGGGGAATCAAAGAAGGCTTTATAGAGTAAGGGACATTTGAGCTGGACCTGAGAGGACGAGTAGTTTTCTGGTGTGGTGGTCTCTCCCTTGTGCTTCAATAGCAAGTCTGTTCCTATTGCTGCCGAAGCACTGGCAGAGCTCTAGAAGCATCTGTTTACACATGTCTCTCCTTCTAGAATGTGATTCCTGGCTAGAAGGGTCCCACTCCTTCCTTCTCTCCATCCTCAGCACCCAGCACATGCTCAGTCCAGAATTGTTGCCCTATCTGTCATTCCCACAGGGATAGAAATGTATTCAACCAGAAAAGCATTAGAAGGCAAAAGCAAAGCTGATAATAAAAAAAAATAGGTGGATGAGAGGCCACATGCAAGACGGTGTTGATGAAGTTCATGTTTAACATAGGAATGTGGCAGGAGACAAAAATGTGGGGTGGGATAAAGGCTAAAGTCTTCAGGTTCAGTGTCTTATTTCCTGAGTGAAGCTTGTCCATGCTGTTTTTACAGGAAGATCCCATGCCTGCTAAATGGGTCAGTGTTATCTCACAGGCAGGTACCCACGCCCACATATATTCATGCATACCTAATAACAACAATGATCATGATGATTATGACGATAAGGGTATAGGCAGATTAGCATTTATTTTCAAGCTGAGAAGCATCATATCTATACCTGGTGCTACCAGTTCCCAAAGGAAACTGGTACTTGAGTTTTTATTTATTCACTCAGCAAACAGAGCACCTCCCATGTACCGGGACCTATGCTGGGTGCCAGGGAGACTGAGTGGATTCAGTGCAGCCCCACTGATCTCAACAAGAGAAAGCAGTTGTTGCAGTCAGGAGTCACAGGAGATTGTTTTCATCCAGAACATGTCAGAGGAGCATAAAGAAGAAAGGAGGAAATGACATTTTAGCTGAGCCCAGGAGAGATGGGATGTGGGCGGGAAGAGGAACAAGAGGGAGACCCTAGACAGAGGACGCAGCGTGACTGACAGCCCATCTAATTTTCTGCTTTATTTGGCACTGCTTTCACGGCTTGTCAATAAATATTTTCTGTTTAAAAAAAAAAAGCAAATGGCATTTAGAGCCTGGAGTGAGCTAGAAAGGTTAGAGTGATAGATGGACCACCAAAGGGAGAGTGCAGTGGGGACGTGGACAACATTTCCAGCCGGAACTGCCTTGTCCCGGGAATTTGGACTTATTCAACGTGAAAGCATGGAGGTTTTCTGAGCCTGGTGACAACCACACCTTCCTGGACACAGGGGATGAGGCCAGGGGCAGGGAGCTGGCAGTTTCTTTGAGGCTGTGAAGACTGCCACCTGTTTCCAACCTGCTTCTTGCTCCCACCCATTATTCCAAGGCTCCTTCTGAGGCACCCCTCCTGTGCAGACGCTAGCATTTGGGAGGGGAGAAGGGCCAGGAAACACCATGCTCACATAAAATCATCCCTCTTCTCACTGTTTCCCTTTGCCAAAAAAAAAAAAAAAAAAAAAAAAGGCCTTTGGTTCCTGTCCACAGTTGTGCTGCTCACACATGTTCATCCTGGCAGGGACAAAGACGCTGGGGCTTCTCTATAGAGACCCACACTGGCTGGGTTGGAGGGGCAGAGATGGCAACATCTGTCCACAGCAGAACATGGCAAAGTGCATCGCTGCAAGTGGATCCACCTGGGAAAACTCCGTACACTGTGACATGAGGCTGAGGGAGAGCAAAGCTCAGAAAACCAACCAGCAGCAGGTGAAACCCAGTCCTGAAAGAACCGGAACCCAGCCTCTGGCCATGCCCCTCGGTTGACTCACAATCCAACCGCCCCATCTAAGTGTCTGTTTTATTTGGTGCTGCTTTAATAACTTGTCAATAAATATTTTCTGTTAAAAAAAATGTGTTGGCTTTCTTACAGGAACATGTACTCTCCTGATATCAAAATAGCTAAATCTTCATGATCCAACTTTTTAACAAGCTGATAGACGTCCAAAGGGGAAATATATCCTGAAATATGCAAAAACATGATGCCCCCCACCACCAAAAAAACCCCACAGCCCACAGCAGCACACTCCAAATTCCCCAGGCCCCTTCTCCAGAGCCCTGGAAACCTCCTAACCCTTGGCAGCCAGGCGGTGGAGCCCCCCTTCTCCGCCCCAAATTCCCACCATCTGGCATTTTTGTCTGCAAAGCATAGGCCCTTCCACCCTGGGCTGCCTGCCCACCCTGTGGATGGAGCCCAGGCGCTGGTGAGGGCTGCCCGGACTTTGCCTCCCTGCCGTGGAAACAAGACACACACACAGATAACACTCTGAGCCTCCCAGTCCTGCCACAGCCAGCTGAGACAAGGCCTACCTCCCTGACCAGCTCTTTCCTAATCCCACCTTCCCCACACAGCAGCTAAATGTTAGGGAGAGAGAGAGGGAGGGAGGAAGCGCCGCAGGGGCTCCAGCAGGACTGCCGGGAGGAAGCAGGCCCTAGGGAGGGCGAGCAGGCAGGTAGCAGAGGGGCCTCATTTGCTGGACCATCTGTCAGGAGCGAAGGAAAGGCCCCCCGCTCCATAGCCCAGGCCCTCCGCCTGCACACGCACACACACACACTCACACAGACCCATGCACACATACATATGCAGCCACATGCACATGTGCACACATCCACAGAATCCCACACACATGAAGTTTCACTCCTACACATGCATTCTTTCTCTAGTGTACACACACATATGTGCAGACACATATGCACACATACACAAAACTGCACACATATAAACATGCCTCTCCAGCTATATAGTCAAATGCACACTCACAGCCATCCATACACCTATGCACAGATATACACAACCATACACACTCATACCCACATGTAGTCAAATATGCATGTGTGTACTTACACACATAATCACATAGCCCCACACTCTTACTTTCTCTCTCATGTGCACACATATACTGCCAAGCACATATACATAAACAAGTGTGCACATACTCATGCTGGAAAATACACAATACACATGCATGCACACATGAACAAATGCACGTAAGCACATATATATCTATTCCTGCCCACACTCACATGCACTCATACAACACACAGATATACCTATACACATAAATACACACACACACACAATTTATAGACATATACAAGTGCTCACATACATACACAACTGTGTGCACATACACAAACACACACCTATATATGGTCATACACACATGCACATACACACACATATTCACACAACCACATCCACACACATGCTTATACTAACACAAGCATTTATGTATATAGTCAAAAACATATGCACATGCATACATACACACCCATAACTATACATACACATACCCATGCACAAATACATGCACATACACATGTTCACATACATGTGCTCGTATATACACAAACACACACATATACTCATGCACATACTGTCATGCAATCACACACACACACACAGACACATTCACACACATTTTTTCACACACATATATACATCCATACACACATTTATACAAGTACATAGGGGCACACATATGAGCACACAAATACTCAACCACATGCATGTACACAAACACATATCTATACCCATTCTGTCTCTCTCTCTTACACACACACACACACATACACACACACACATACACACACACACACAGAGGCTCAGCCTGCTAGCCATCTTTATTTTCCCTTAAAGAAAAATCAGGCTGAGTGCAGTGGCTCACGTCTGTAATCCTAGCACTTTGGGAAGCCAAAGTGGGCAGATCACTTGAGCCTGGGAGTTCGAACATGGCGAAACCCCATCTCTACAAAAAAATACAAAAATTAGTTAGGCATGATGGCACATGCCTGTAGTCTCAGCTACTTGGGTGGCTGAGGTTGGGGGTTCTCTTAAGCCCAGGGAGGTCAAGGCTGCAATGAGCCCTAATCGCACCACTGCACTCCAGCCTGGGCGACAGAGTGAGACACTGTCTCAAAAACAAAAAAGAAAAAGGAAGAAAGAAAGCAGGGGGAGACAGGGAGGGAGGGAGGGAGGGAAAGGAGGAAAGAAAGAAAAGAAAAGAAAGAAAGGAAGGAAGGAAGGATCACATTATTAGCCACCTGTAAGCCAAGAAGAAAGACAGAAAGAAAGAGAAAGAGGAGAAAGAGGAAGGAAGGAAGGAAGGAAGGAAGGAAGGAAGGAAGGAAGGAAGGAAGGAAGGAAGGAAGGAAAGGAAGGAAGGTAGCTTACACGGTCCAGAGTAAACTACCAGCATCACTCCAGCCCATCAGGAGTATCCAGCCGCCATCTTTGGGATGAGGAGGCAGAGGCAGAGATTGCTAAGAGAATTGCACCAAGTCACATAGCTATCAAGTGGTGGATACCTCTGGCTCCATGGCCAGAGCTCTCTCCCCATTGTCATCCTGCCAAGTTCCAAGTCCTTTGCCTCTATTATCTGGGCTCCCTTCATACTCTGTACCCCTTCTTGCCACCCAGCGGTCCTCCACAGCCATGCCAGGCTGTCGCTCTTGTAAGGAGAGCACAGGGTGGCAGAGACTGGGTAAGAGTTTAACACCAGAATGAGAAGTGCTGACAGCAGCCCTTCTTCTGGGGATGCTAAAAATGGAAGGAGGAGAGGAAGGCAACTAACACATATCGATGGCTTTCTTACTTGACTTCTGTGCTAAAAACAGCACAAGAGGGAAAGCAGGTACAGACCTGCATTTCTGACTACTTCCTTTGCCTGAGGGACTGTTAGGACACTCTACTTGATTGCTATAGGGGAAATAGCAGGATGCTCCAGTACAGAGCACCGAGTTGATTCAAATCCCAGCCATACCACATCTTGCTGTGTGATCTTAGTTTCTTATCATCTTTGAGCTAAAACGGGATCATACCTTCCTTGCCAGGGAATTGTGGAGTCTGATGAAATAATGCCTGAAATGTGGTTCCCTGGTGCCTGGCTCATGCTGAGAACACAACAAGCCTTAACTATTTTAATCTTATTAACTATTATCTGTATTTCAAAGTTTTCTTTAAAAAAACATAATCCTGGAGAGAACTCTAGATTATCTCAAGGTAGATTCTATTTTGAATGAACTAAAATGGTGTCCACTGGCTGGACTCTGCTGTCAGTATTTCCTGGAGGTGCCGAACTTCCACAGTTATGTGATTATCTTCCCCAGGTGTAACCATGGAGGAGGCATAGCCCCTGCTCCCAAGGAGTTTAGATTCTCCTAGAGAAGAAAGACACATTTAGAAATAAACACAATAAAAGAAAGAAGATGAAAAATGAAGAAAACAACCCATGCCCATTTGCAGGTAAGGAAAATGGAACTCTGAGAAGCAAACTGACTTGCCCAAGGACACACAGCTAGAAAAGGGCAGAGCAGGGACTGGAGCTCAGGTCTGTCTTGATGTCAAATCTCATGCTTTTTCCACCGTGCATAAGAGCTCAGAGGACTCCCATTTTAGAGGAAATATAAACTCTAGTAGGTTGGGGTGCTGGGCTCCTCATGGCATGGTCTAAACCACTCACAACAACCCAGACTTAACGAAAATAAAAAGGCTTAGAGAACAAAGAAAGAAGATAAAATGGGAGGTCTTAAATCTCTCCTCCATAAACACACAAAATATATAAACAACCCAGGAATGACCCCCTTAGGAGATAACAACACCATCCATTTTTACAGAGGGACTTACAAGACCCAAATAAATGGGGAGGCATATCATATTTCTAGATTTGAAAAGTGACTATGGAGAAAATGTTCATTTTTCCAACTTAGCACATGACTTGAACCAATTCTAATCAAAATCCTGAGGGAATTTTCTTTAGAACTTGGAAAAATGATTCTAAGTTTCATCTGGAAGAACAAATAGATAAAATTGGGCAGAAAAATATTGAAGAAAGGAATATCGTGGTAAAGAACTAGGCATATTGGCTATGAAACTTATTTACACATCTACAAAATTTTTAAAAGTAGTGTTAGTGCAAGAGCACACAAGTCAATAAAGCAGAATGTGTAGCCAGAAACAGGTGCTAGTGTATGCAAGAACTTAATATCAAATCAAGGCTGCATCACAAACCAGTGAGCACACAATGGATGATTCAATACACAGAGATGGGGAAATTGGATACCTGAGAAAAAATCCTTTCAGAGCTTCACCTTGTAACATTACCTCAAAAAAAAAAAAAAAAAAACCCAAAACTCAAGAAAAATGAAGCTGAATACTTAGGTTCTTTCTAAACACAAACAGTGGGAGGAACCACGATGGAAAAGCTCAAGATTGAACTATGTAGAAATTTGAAACTTCTGAAAGTCAAAAGTCAACATATGACAATGGTTGAAACTAGATGATGGATAAGGCAGGGCAGGTGTCATTATACTACTCTCTGCTTTTGTGTATGTTCAAAACTGTCCATGGTTAAAAGCAAACATTTTTTAAAGTTTTAGAAATCAACATAGATCTACAAGGCAAACAACCAAAGCAAAAAATGCCTTCACCACCAACGTAGTACAGGAACCATTATCTTTCAGATGCAAAGAACTTCTGCAAATGACTCACATTCACTAAAGCATCAGCATATAAGAATGACCATTTGTTGATTATCCTCTCAGCCTCCAGTCCCCCTTCCTATTCCTCTTAGCCCTTGATTTTCACTGAAGTACCCATAAGGTTCTAGGGAGGCTGACTCCATCCCTTATACCTGCGCTGGAGGAGATCATGTGACCTGGCTCTGCCAGTCAGTGCATCAAATTCCCTGGCCACTGCGATTGGCTTAGGAAGAGGCACGTGACCAAGTGAATCCAAACAATGAATTTCAGGGCTTCTGGCGGGGATTCAGCGACAAAGAAACTCTTTCTTTCATGTTGGGCTTTAATGTAGTCCCAGGAGATTCTGGGAGAACCTTGGCACATGGGAGTGGGAAGAAGCCCCCTGAGAATGACGCCAACGCCAGGAAGCAGAGCCAAAGAGTCAAGAGCGAAAGAAGGCTCTGTGACATTTTTTGAAACCTGGATCAAATTCCACTTAAAGCTAGACCCACTTCGGTATAAATACATTCGACTAAAAAAAAAAAAATCCCTTTTTTGAGGGGTTTCTGTGACTTGCAACCAAAAGCAACCAAACTAAAATAAGCTAAATGAGCCTAAATGTGTACAGATCCGCAAGCATGCCTGCCCAGCAAGGAGCAGATTTTGTACGATCCCCACAGGTGGGCAAGGAAGCTCCCCTTTCTCAGAGGGAAGTCTCGCCTGCTCTCTGGTTTCTGCTGTGACTCGTCTCCAGGCCCCTCGCAGCCCCCTTCTCTCTCCCTCCATCCAAGGGAATAGACTCAGACAACAATTGGGCTGGAATTACCTGGAATTACCACAGAAAGATAGGTTTCCCTCGGTAACATGCCTCGCTCAGCCCAGGAAAGCAGGGAGACACCTGGGGGCAGGTGCTTGTGGGTTATTCAAGACCCAGAATCTCCCATTTGAAACTTCCTCCTCCTGTCCTGAGATTGGAAAGCCGATAAGGAAGCCTTCCAGCAGAATGCAGCTTCTGTGGGGGTAGTCAGCACTGAATGGGGGTGGTCGGGAGAGGAGGCGGATGTCACCTGCCATCCAACTGTGACCTCTTCAACTTTACAAGGCTAAATTGAACTCTTCTTCAGACACCCAGAGAGGACCAAACTCTTGGTGACAACTTTTGGACAAACTTGATGACCAATATATCCATCCACAGCAGTGGCCCTCTCTTTGTAGACCCGGAGTGCTCATCCCTACAAGCAGGGCCCCTCTGGGTATCTCAGCCCCTGAAGTGGCTTAATAGTGTGATATTGGGGCCAGTGGGGCTATAGATCCTCTCCGTAGCGTGGGGAGGCCCGGCGATCTGAGCTGCCCACTGTATGTGGCCTATCTAGAGGACCTAGAATGCTCAATGCCCCCAACTGAAATTCCAGATCTTTGGACTCTGCACAAAAATGAATTTTGCTAAGTTTGCTTCCAGGAATCCTGCTTTTACAAGCTAGCTTGTTTCCATAATCACTTGTGTCTGTTTTTAAATTATTTCCTTTCCTAGTTTTTATTATTTGCATTCTTTCTAATTACATTTTAAGAATATTTGGTAAAGAATGAATGTAACACATATAAGTTAAAATAAATAATATTAAAATGACTGCCCCTCAACTCTGCAGCCAACTTAAAAGCTAGAACATCACCAGTAACTTGCATCTACCTACCCCATCCCCAGACTTTCCCCCACCCAAAGTAGCCAAATCTTGAATTTTATGCACATCATTCCTTTATGTTTTGTACATAATGTTTTCTCATATAAATGAATTATAAAATTGGACTCATACTACATGTAGCCTTCTGTAGGCATACTTATTTTACTCAATATTATGTTTCTAAGATGCAGCCATATTGTTCTGGATAGCTGAGATTCATTCATTTTATTTGCTGTATAATATTCCTTGGTGTAAATGTATCCTAATTTTACATATCCATTGGCCTGCCTACAGACATTGGAGTTGTTTGCATTGTTGAGGTTTCTGTACTGTACTCACATGCTACTATAAACATTTTTGTACACATCTCATGGTGTCCATATGCAAGAGGCTCTCTGGACTGTACACCTACAAGTAACATGGCTGGGTCAATGGATATTCAAATGTTGAATTTCACAAGGTAGTATCCAAAGCATTCTCACATTCTCTCTTTATCTGCCTGCAATATTGTTTCCCATTATCACTCCCCAACCAATAAAAGCATTGATTATAAATCCCTGCCCATACCTATGGCTCATAGTGCATCACTGTGTAGAGTATACCTCCCTGCCACGTGACTTGTGTTAGTTGGTGGAACATGAGCAGATGTGACAAGTACTTTATCTAAGCCAAAACTTAAGGAGCTGCCACAAAGTTCTGCCTCTGTTCTTTTTTCCTCTGCCATGAGAACATCATGTCCTCGAGAGCCATTCTACCAGGCTGGATCCTAGGATGAACATACCTGGAACACTGTTGCAGCCAACATAAATGACAAAAGAGAGGAGTGAGAAATAAATTTTTATTGTCATAAGCCATTTAATTGTTTGTTACTGCATCATAATATAGCAAAAGCTGCCAGATACAAGACAATCAACAAATATTTACTGAGCATCTCCTACACATCAGATATTGTGCTAGGTTCTGTAAAAGCATGAATTCTTTGAGAAAGACAAAACCCATGACCCTACAAAGTTCACACTCCAAATAAACAGCAGATCCCAAAGGCCCTAGAGACTTTCTAGGATAACTCCCAGAGACAAACTCATCAGTTAGGAGCCTTTCTGTTAAAAATGACATACTTGATAAAGAAACATGAGAATTGATTGATTCTCATAAGCAGGGATAGATCCCAGAGCAAACAATATTATCAGGGCCCATTCTCTCCATCTCCCAGTTCTGTTTCCTCTATGTTTGTCTCTATTCTCAGACAACCATTCCTTTTATGGTGGCAAACTGGCTACTCCTTTGTAATTCAAAATCCTGGGCCTGACTCCGAGAGCCAAACTGAGTCACAAGCCCATCCCTGAACCAATCAATGTCCAGGGAGATGGGATATACTGATGGTTCAGTCCTGGGTCATGTGTCGTCCCCAGAGCTGATGATAGTGTCATCCTACCCAAAACTCATGGGCCAAGAATAGGGTAGGGGTAGATGCCCTGTGGAAAAATCGGGGCACTCTTGCCAGAAGGGAAAGTGGATGCTGGACAAGTGAACCACACATTTCCATGCAGCAAGCTCATTCCCCCTTTCTAGTGGTATAGTGGAACTGGCTTATATTGTCCTGTGAAAGACACATTTCTTCCAAACTCCACATTCAGTGATATCACATTGGTAGCATGAAACCAGCCACTGTGGGAATGTTTACACCATGGAAATAGGGAAGCGCTACAAATCAGGACTTGAATTTTCCCAGAGAACTGGTTGTTACACACTTATCAGCATACCACAGCCCCCAACACCAAGTGTCCTGTTGGTTATATTTCCAGCTCTGCCCCATGATGCAGTGTCACTTGGACCAGTCCTTTGCTCTCTCTGGGCTTGATTTTTTTCAACTGCAAAGTGGGGAAGTTGGGCTCACTTCTTCTGAAGTTGTATTCAGCCTCTGACAGTTTGTGAGTCTATGAGGCCCTGGAAGGGATGTGTGTGTGTGCATGCACGCTTGTGTGCATATGCACACGCATGGATGTGAGTTTAAATTTGCTTTCCCTGCATCAGAAATCATAAATGCAGGCATTGGCTATAAACTCCAATACAATTTGGTGAGCTATACCTCTTCACTTGGGCTATTAAATCATTTTCCCTCCAAAGGTACACATGTTGTGGCATAAGGAGCAAACTGTTGGCAGATGGTGGAGAAACTTCACAGGCCCATAACTGAGACTTATTTTCATACATTCGTGCCAGTTTGAAATCTAATTGCCAATAAAACAATACTGTGATACTGCCACATCTAATACCTCCACCACTCTCCAAAGTTACACTTGAATCCACTAGTAAATTCTAATCTCCCAGAGAAAAATATTTCCCCCTCTCCGTCGGAAAAGCAGCACTATAAATCCACGTACAGTGGTTCATTTTCAAATGCAAACCTCCCTTCCCTGGTCCCCAAAGAGCCCTTACTCGGCTAATGTTAGTGCCTGCCTGAGAGCAGTAGATATTCTTTGTTTACTTGACAGAAGCACAGATGTGGCTTGGCAAGCCTGTGGTGGGGTCTTTTGCAGAGAAACACTTTGATAGGCCAGAGTAGCCACCCACTTTCAAGTGACTCAGTACTCCGCTTTGATGCTATTTGTTTCAATAGTGGGGAAATGGCCCGAGATCCACTGCTACTTGATGAGCAAGGGAAGGTGGAGGAGCCCAACCTCCCCTCCCTGCTCTTCTATTCTCACTCGCCTAATGAAAAGGTTTGAGGATAGATTGATTCAGATCAATTTGAAGCTGTAAATAAAAAAAAATCGGCTTTCAGTGGGAAGAAGGAGCATGTGGGGTGGGTTGGTTTGTGTGCCCTGAAAAACACAACCTGTCACCTCAAATCACGAGCCTGCTAGAACCAGTAATAGCCATCCTTCTCAAATTAGAGCTGTGCCAGTTTACAAAGAAATAGTTTTTTGTGTTTTGGATTTTTTCTCTTTTTTTTTTTTTTGTTTTTTGAGTCAGGGTCTCCCACTGTCACCCAGGCTAAAGTGCAGTGGTACAATCATGGCTCAGTGCAGACTTGAACTCCTAGGCTCAAGCAATCCTCTCACCTCAGCCTTTTGAGTAGCTGGGACCACAGGCTCACATTGCCATGCACAATAATTTTTTTTTTTTGTAAAGCTAGGGTCTCCCCATGTTGCCCAGGCTGGTCTCTAACTCCTGGGCTCAAGCAGTCCTCCCCTCAGCCTCCCAAAGTGCTGGGATTACAAGCATGAGCCACTGTGCCTGGCCTTACGAAGAAATAGTTCTTGAGGGTTGACTCTGTGGCAGGTCTGTGCCAAGCCCAGAGATGCTGCAGTAAATGTAGCAAATATGGTCCTTGCCCACATAGTCTGTACATTACCCCTAGGAGGCAGATTATTATTTTTCCTGTTTTACAGATAGTAAACTAAGGTTCAGAGAGGTTAATTCTTCCTTCAGGATGCACAGTGATTGGCAGAAGTGAAATGTGAACTCGGATCCAAGTTCACTTCTTTTGTTTCAAGGATTAAGTGAGATAATTAACTAAAGAAGCTTCCTGAAGTCCAGTTCCCTTCCTCCTACCCCCACCCCACCTCTGCCTGTGGTCCTGGCTCTTCCACTTGGGGACATCTTCCTCACCTTGCACACAACAGACCTTTAACTATCTGAAGATTGTTATCATAGCTTCCTGGAGCTTTTTCCCTTTTGCTTGCAAAGTACACTTTGTTTCTTCAGACATTCCCCCAAATCATGGCCTGAACTCTGGACAGGGTTTCTCAACCTTTCATTGGCAAAGGAACCATATGGAGAATTTGCTGAAATACAAATTGCAATTCAAAGTTTGCAGTATCCAATATTGGTAGCCACTGGCTACATGTGAATACTGAGCACTGGAAATGTTGCTAGTGCAACAGAGAAACAAAACTTTTATTGTATTTAATTTTAATTATTTAACTTTTAAATTAGGCTGGGAGTGGTGGCTCACACCTGTAATTCCAGCACTTTGGGAAACCAAGGAGGGTGGATCACTTAAGGCCAGGAGTTTGAAACCAGCCTGGCCAACATGGTGAAACCTCATCTCTACTAAAAAATACAAAAATTAGCTGGGAGTAGTGACACGCGTCTGTAATCCTAGCTACCTGGGAGGCTGAGGCACAAGAATTGCTTGAACCCGGGAGGCGGAGTTTGCAGTGAGCCCAGATCTCACCGCTGCATACCACCTGTGTGGCAGAGCAAGACTCTGTCTCAAAAATATAAATAAATAAATAAATAAATAAATAAATAAATAAATAAAACTTAAATTTAAAAAATAAGGCAATATAAAATATTTTTCACTAAACACAACTTATTATTTTGGTAGGAATCTATTTCATTTTAATCATTAAAAAATGAGCATCTGAATTGAGATGCACTGGAAGTGTAAAATACATACTAAATTTCAAAGACTTAGTACTTAGGGGGAAAAAGAATGCAATATCTCATTAATAATGTGGTTATATGGATTACATGCTGAAATGATAATGTTTTTGATATCTTGAGTTACCTAAAATATATTATCATCTGGGCATGGTGGTTTGTGCCTGTAATCCCAGCTACTCAGAAGCCTGGGCAGTCAGATTACTTGAGCCCTGGAGTTCGAGACTAGACTGGGTAACATAGCAAGACTCCATCTCTAAAAACAAAACAAAATAAAATAAAATATATTATTGGCTACTAGAAATTATATATATTTATATATATACATATATATACACACATATATACACACACATATACACACACACACACACATATACACACACACACACACACACACACACACATATATATATACAGATGCTCCTTGGCTTACGATGTGGTTACATTCTGATAAATCCATCATAAGTTGAAAATACTGTAAATCAAAAATGCATTTCATATATCTAACCTACCCTAACAAGCTAACATCATAGCTTAGCCTAGCCAACCACAAATGTGGCCAGAACACTTACCTTAGCCTACACTGGGCAAAACCGCCTAACCTAATGCCTATTTCATAATAAAATTTTGACCACTTCATGTAATGTATTAAATACTGTAGTGAAAGTAAAAAACAGAATGGTTCTATGGATTCTCTAAGTATGGTTTCTACTAAAAATGTATTGCGGCCCACCACGGTGACTCACGCTTGTAATCCCAGCACTTTGGGAGGCAGAGGCGGGTGGATCACTTGAGGCCAGGAGGTCGAGACCAGCCTTGCCAACATGGCGAACCCTTGTCTCTACTAAAAATACAAAAATTAGCCAGTAGTGGTGGCACATGCCTGTAATCCCAGCTACTTGGGGGGCCGAGGCAGGAGAATTGCTTGAACCCAGGAGGCTGAGGTTGCAGTAAGCTGAGCTCACGCCATTGCACTCCAGCCTGGGCGACAGAGTGAGACCCTGTCTCAAAAAAATAAAAGTGTATTGCTTTCGCACCATTGCCAGGTCAAAAAGTCCTGAGACAAACCATTATAAGTCAGGGACCATCTGTATGTCAGTTGTCCCTCAGTATCTGTGGGGGATTGGGTCCAGGACCCTAAACACACACATGGATACCAAAATCCATGGATGCTTAAATCCCTTATATAAAATGGTGTAGTGTTTGTATATAATGTACATACATTCTCCCATATACTTTGAATCATCTCTAGATTACATATGATACCTAATACAAAGCAAATGCTATGTAAATAGTTGTTAATGCTGTATTTTTTAGGGAATAATGATGAGAAAAAAGTCTGTACATGTTCAGTAAAAATGCAACCACCCAATTTTCCTTTTGTGGACATTTTTTAATATGTTGGTTGAGTCCATCGATGTGGAACCCGTGGATAGAGAGGGCCAGCTGTATACACACATACACACACACAAAAGGTTGACATCACATTTCTACTGAACAGCCATGGTCTACATCATACAATAGCCTGATCATCTTTTCTTGGGTTGAGCTCTAGCTTGTCAACATCCACTGACAACATGTGGTCAGGACACTACACGCAAACTGATATGGCCCGAGTCTATTGAGTATCTTGCATGAATTTTGGGGGTAACCACTTCACATCCACACCTCTGTTTTTTTGAATGACCTAATGTCCTGCCAGGTCTCCCCTAGCCTTCACATGTATTCTCTAGATTTTTGAAATGTTACCATTTTCAAGACATTACAATTTTCCCCTTCAGTTTCTCCTGTTTGTTTCAGCCCATTCTCCCTGCCAGTCAGGGTCTCCTTGCATCTTGATTCTGTCACTCAGCATATCCTTCTCAACCTCACAGCTTCCTCATATTTGATAAGCTTGCCTTCATGTCTTCAACCAGGGCAGCAATTAACTTGTTGATGGGGATAGGCCACATCTAGAAACTTATCTCTGGCCTCCAGAGTCCTGCTTCCAGGTTGACAGCAGCCCGTTTATCAGCACCCTTTGGGTACCATTGTTCATGCTGGCTGGCTGTGCCATCACCCAAAATCTGCTCCTTCCTCTATCTGCAGGAAGGCAAAAGAACTTGTCGGCAACTCAGCTGAAATTCCATTGCCAGGAAATTGCCCTAAGGAAATAACCATGGATGTATGCAAAAGTAAAACCATAAGGAAGATCATAACAGTGCTGTTTATAAGAGAAAATAGTAAGGAATAACTTGCATGATGTCTGCACTAGGAATTGGTTAAAACAGAATATAAGTCCACTTACTAGAATGATCTGCATATTTTTAAATGATGTTGTAGAAAAATATTTAATGACATGGAAAATTGTCCTTAATATATTTAAGTGCTAAAATCATATTATAGAACGATACTCTTTTAGGTATGTATTTATATATTTGGAAAAATGACTGTTACAAAAAAATACACTGAAATGGTAAACATAGTTATCTCTCAATGATGAAATCAGTTTTATTTTCCATGCTGCGAGATCTGTTTGCATTGCCTTGTTTAATACTTACGATTCTGTGGAGTGGGTGGGATCATCTGCCTTTTACAACAGAGCCCAAAACTGAGATTCAGAGAGATTACCCAGCCTGTCCTAGGCCCTTCAGTGTAAGCACAGGGCCACTAGAGACCCAGTCTTTCCATAGGCAAAACCAGAGGGCTCTTCCCCGAGATTTACCACCACCCTCCTAGAGAGTGGGACTTGAAGGGTATGGGATATCTGGATTTCTACAAAATGTCTAATTACAGCCAAGCTTCCATAGTTAGATCCTCCCTTATCTATTCGAGAACGTGGCTTCAGCAACCCATCCTCCCTCTCCTATATCACGTTCCCCTCTCTACAGAATCATCCCTTTCAGCACATAAACACACTATCGGGCCAGGCACGTGCCTCACACCTGTAATCCCAGCACTTAGGGAGGCCATGGCGGGCAGATCACCTGAGTTCAGGAGTTCAAGACCAGCTTGGGCAACATGGCAAAACCCTGTCTCCACAAAAAATACAAAAAGTAGCCGGGTGTGGTGGTATGCGCCTGTAGTCCCAGCTACTTGGGAGGCTGAGGCAGGAGAATTGCTTGAGCTCAGAAGGCAGAGGTTGCAATGAGCAGAGTTCACCACATTGTACTCCAACCTGAATGATGGAGGGAGACCCTGTCTTAAAAAAAAAAAAAAAAAACTATCATAGTATCAGCCAAGTGTGGTGGCTCACACCTGTAATCCTAGCACTTTGGAAGGCCAAGGCAGGAGGATCGCTTGAGCCCAGGAGTTTGAGACCAACCCTGGCAACATAGTGAGATTCCATCTCTAGAAAAAAAAAAAAAAATTAGCCAGGTGTGGTGGTACACACCTGTAGTCTTAGCTGCCTGGGAGGCTGAGGTGGGTGGATCACTTGAGCCCAGGAGTTCAAGTCTGCAGTAAGTTATGATTACACCACTCTACTCCAGCCAGGACAACAGAGCAAGACCTTGTCTCTAAATTTAAAAAAAAAAAAAAGTTTATTTAAATGCTATTTTCTTTTAATTAAAGAAAAAAAAACAGCCTCTCCTAACCCCACTTTCCCCCCCAATTACCACTCCATGTCTCTCCTTCCTTTTTCAACAAAACTTCTTGAAAATGGAGCACAAAGAAGTTCAACAAATGGTGCCTGATATGGTTTGGATCTGTGTTCCCACCAAATCTCATGTCAAATTGTAATCCCCAAAGTTAGAGGTGGGGCCTGCTGGGAGGTGGCTGGATCATGGGGGTGAATTTCTCATGAATGGTTTAGCACCATCCCCTCTGATATTGTCCTCACGATAGTGAATAAGGTTTCTCCTTAGATCTGGCTGTTTTAAAATGTGTAACACCTCCTTCCTCACTCTGTTTCTACTGCTCCTACCATTGTAAGCTACCTGAGGCCTCCCCAGAAGCTGAGCAGATGCCAGCATTATGCTTCCTATACAGTCTGATGACTGGCCACAGGTACCCACCATCGGTGTGTGCCACAACCTGCCTAGACAGATGGGCCTTGTACCCCTTCACTCTCTCCAAGGATGGGGCTCTTTCTCTTGGCTGCATCTGAATGGGCAGGAGACAGAATTATTCCCTGCATTTGCTTTACTGACACCTGGAGAGGGTATGTTCTCTGGGTGAGGGCCAACATGGTTGGAGAGTAAAGAATCTGATCTTAGTCTCTTGGAACACAGGAGAAATTCTCTAATTCAGCTTTGACAGTGAGTAAGGCAGATGTCTGTAATTTTACATTTGCTATACAATTTACATATTGTCACCTGGTAAAATTAATGGTGCCTCACTGCTATGGACTGAATTGTGTCCCCAAAAATTCATATGTTGAAGCCCTAATCCCCAATGTGATGGTAGTTGGAGATGGGTCTTTTAGGGAGTAATTGGGGTTAGATGAGGTCATGAGGGTGGGACCTTCATGATGGGATTAGTGCTCCCTATAAGAAGAGACTCTAGAAAGTCTCTCTATCTTTCTCTCTCTCACTCTCCCTCGTTCTTACTCTCACTCTCCCTCTCTTTCTCTCCAACCATATGCACTGCGAAAAGGCCACGTGAAGACACAACAAGAAGACAGCTATCTGTAACTCAAGGAGAGAGCCTCACCAGACACCAATCCTGCTGGTACGTTGGTTTTGGACTTGCAGTTGCCAGAACTATAAGAAATAAATTTCTGTTGTTTAAGCCACTCAGTCTATGGTATTTTGTTATGGCAGCCCAAGCTAAGACACTCAGTCATTTAATCCGATGTACAAAAAAAACTGATGTGTGTAATCATAATATTTTGGAGATACTTATCAAAAATATAATATTTATTAAGACAGTTAATCTTTTCCATCAGTCAAACTTTAGGTGCAAAAATGATGACTCAGCAATTTCTGAAGAAATAAATGCTTATGAGATAGGATAGTTCAGTGCTGTTCTCATGCATCCTGGATCTTTATACAATCCCCCTCCCACCTTGATCTTGGGTGTGAGGCAAGAGCCCTCTTTTAAATTTCCAGGGAAATTAAAAAGAACATAGGTTCTTTGAAAAAGACCAAAGCAGACTTGAAGTGGACAAGAAATTAGACTTCAGGAAAGAAATGAAAGAAAACAATAAAATTAATTATAGAAATGCAAACTGTGTTATTATAGAAACAGTTATAATAGAAACAGTAAGAAGTAGATACAGGATCAAGACGTGAAGACAACTTTAGAGAAATATGCAAAATAAAAAAATCAAAGAGATAATCTCTATTGGTAAAATGACAGATATTCAGGACAGATAAATTACATACAGCAAGTGCTTTCTTGATGTTCCTGAATTTAAAAAAAAAATTCATAAAGCAGAAAAATAGCCAAAGATATGATAGAAAATGCTATGCTTTGAATGTGTCTCCCAAAAGTTTATGTGTTGGAACTTAATCCACAAACAGTGTTGAAAGGTGAGACCTTTAAAAGATGATTAGGCCATGGAAGCACCATCCTCATGAAGGGACTAAGGCTGTTATTTGAGGAGTGGGTTAATTATCTCAGGAGTGGGTTCTTGATAAAAATGATGAGTTCAGCCTGATTTCCTCTCTCTGTCTCACACACTCTCACCCTCTCTTGCCCTTCCTTGTGATGGGATGACCCTCACTAGACACTGGCACCATGCTCTTGGACTTCCCAGCCTTCAGAACCATGAGCCAAATAAACTTTTTGCCTTATAAACTACCCGGTCTGTGGTATTCTGTTACAGCAGCAGAAAATGGACAGAGACAGAAGACAACATCCTAAAATAAAGAAAGATCTGAAACTGCAGATAAGATTTGCAAAGCTACAGTTTGTGCTCTCAGACTAATTTACTCAAGAAATAAAAACTCCAATGGGCAACCCAGCAAAGAAATCAAGTCAGCTATGAGGGGACACAGGTGAGCTTGCCTCAATGTTCCTCCCTGCAATAGTCAATGTCAAAAGATGAAAGGAAAACTCACAGAATTCAAGGGTTGGAAGTGGGCAGGATATGATCCATGATTTTTATAAACCCTGTCAAAGTGTCACCATGTATAAAAACAAATGGGAATTTCTCAGGAAATATAGCACCAATCAAACCCTTCCTAGTGATAAGATTTAGCCAACCAATAAAGGAACCCAAAAGAGGCCTGGCCTTACTAATTTGATCACTGATGGGCTGGGAATACCAGCTGGGCAGTAAGAACCAGCTCCAGGGCCTCTGCTGGGGACTTCAGGAAAAGGGTACTCTGTCTTCTGCTGTCATTGTTTAGCTGGTAGGATGTACACCTGAAGCAACTGGTGACAATTTTTGGAGACCTTGCCTCAGAAGTAACCCAACACAGAAGAAGCAAAGCCTCAAGATATTTCTGATAATAAAACAGGTCTAGCAATGCCTGGATTCTCATATTTTCAATTACTAGTGTCAATAAATTCCTCATTTTTCTTAATCTAGCTGTGTTAAGTTTCTATTATATGAGTTTGTTTCTGTTGTGGCTAGGACCTACAGGACAAGGCTGAATACAAGTAGAAGGGCAGACATCCTTGCTTTGTACATGATCTTAGAGGGGAAGCATTCAGTCTTTCACCATTAAGTATGATGTTAGCTGTGGGTTTTTCATGGATTCCTTTATTAGGTTGAGGAAATTTCCCCTCTGTATTAGTTTCTTAAGGCTGCCATAACAAATTGCCAGAAGATTCATGACTTAAAATAACAGAAATGCATTATCTTACAATTCTGAAAGCCAAGGTCTAAAAATCAAGGTGTTGTAGGGCGACGCTCCTTCCAAAGGCACTGGAGGAGAATCCTTTTTTGCCTCTCCTGGCCCCTGGTGACTCTATGTATTCCTTGGCTTGTGGCTGCATCACTCATTTTCTGCCTCCATCTTCTCATGAACTTCTTCCCTGTGTCTCTATGTCTTTTCTCTCTTGTAAAGACTCATGTCATTAGATTTAAGGCCCACTAGAATAATCTCATCTCTAGATCCTTAACGGCATCTGCAAAGACCTGTTTTCCAAATAATGTCACATTCACAGGTTTTGGAATGTGGACATATTGAGGAGGAGGGCACCATTCAACTCACTACATCTTCTATTCCTAGTTTGTTGTGTGATTTTACTATAAAAGCATGTTGCATTTTAAGTGCTTTTTCTGTGCCTACTGACATGATCATGTGGGTTTTGTTATTCATAATATTGATATGATATATTGCCTTGATTGATCATTAGATGTTAAACCAACCTTGCATTCCTGGGATAAATGCTACTTGATCATGGCATATAATCCTCTGTATATGTTGCTGGACTTGATTTACTAGTATTTTGCTGAGGATTTCTGCATCTATATTCATAAAGGATATAGTCTTTAATTTTAGTTCTTGTGATGTCTTTGGTTTTGATATCTGGGTAATATGGTATCTGACTTCACAGAATGTGTTGGGAAGTGTTTCTTCTGCTGCTGCTATTTTTAAGAGTTTGTGATTGTTACTAATTTTTCTTTAAATATTTGGTAGAATTCACTAGTGATGCCATCTGGCCCTGGTATTTTTTTTGTGGAAAGTTTAATTACTAATTCAGTCTCTTTACTCATTATAAGTCTGTTCAAATTTTCTATTTCTCTTGAGCCAGTTTTTGTAGTTGGTGTCTATCTAGGAATTCGTTCATTTTACCGAGGTTATCTAGTTTGTTGGCATACAGTTGTTCATAGTATTCCCTTATAAGCCATTTATTTATGTAAGACCAGTAGTTACATTTTCTTCTTACTCCTGATTTTAGTCACTTGATACCTCTCTTTTCTTCTTAGTCAGTCTAGCTAAAGACTTAACAATTTTGTTATTCTTTTTAAAGAAACAATTTTTAGTTTCCTTGACTTTCTCTATTGTTTTTCCATTTTCTATTTTAAGTTCATTGAAACTTGGTTCATGGCATAGCATGGTCTAAACTGGAAAATGTTCCATGACTACTTAAGAAGAATGTATATTTTGCTTTTGTTGGGTATTCTATAGGTATCTGTTAGGTCTAGTTGGTATAGAGCATTGCTTAAATCTTCTATTTCCCTGTTGATCTTCTGCCTTGTTGTTCTATCCATTATTAAAGGTGGGGTATTGAAGTCTTCAACTATTATTGTTGAATTGTCTTTCTGCCTTCAATTCTGTCAGCTTTTTGCTTCATGTATTTGAGGCTCTGTTGTCAGATGCACATATTTTTACAATTGTTATGTCTTCATAATGGCCTGACCCTTTCATCATTATGCAGGTCCTTCTTTGCCTCTGGAAGCAAGTCCCATTGTAAAGTCTATTTTATCTGCTAATAGTATAGATGCTCCAGCTCTCTTCTGGTTATTATTTCCATGGTATATTTTTCCATCCTTTTACTTTAACCCTATTTGTATTTTTGAATCTAAAGTGTGTCTTTTATAGATAGCTCAGCAGTTTATTTTAAAACAAATGCCAAACATCACATCATTTCCTCTGTAAATCCTTCTGTAGATATTTCTAAAGGATTGGGACTTTGTACAAAATGTAAACACAATACCATTATCACAACCAAAAAAATTTCACAATAATTTTCTAATATCAACAAATACCTGGTCAGCAATTAACATTCATTCTTGAAATTCCCCACTCACAGGCTCCTAGACATAGCCCTCTCCTGGTCTCTGCTTTATCTTGAAGCAATCTCCTCTTTCCATGGGCTACAATTCTTGTCTAAATCTTCAAAAGATATCTCTTTTCCCTGAAACTCTGTCTTAGCTCTCTGATCTTCCATCTCCACATCCTTTCAGGCAACACATCTTTTTCTTGGGGACCAACAATCAGCTCAATATGAGAGATATCCAAGATTTGTTTCCATGCACAAGTTTCACACTTTCATCTGTCTGATGGAGCATCTGCATGGGAGCCCCACTTCAAACTTCACATTTCTCAAACTTAACACCTGATCCAGCACCCAGACTTGCTCTCCTCCCATCTTCTTCATCTTGGTCACTCACCAGCATCCTTCTAATCAGCTACACTAAAGATTCCTGTCATCTCAGCCACCTGCTTACCACATCCCACACGAGCCCACAGGCACACAATCCTGCCAGGACTGCCTGTTGGTGCCCACCACTACCTGTCTCTGCCCATTTCCCTCTGGTACATCCTTGGAGTTTCCACTAATAGGTTGGAATTGTCCAACCTAATAGAGGGGACAAAGATGACTAAGCCACAGTCCTTGCCTTCCAGGAGTTCACCATTTTGATGGGAGCCAGAACACAAATAAGAAAAAAGTCTATTTTTCAAAACAGATTTAAAGCTCAGCAAAGCAGCAACAAAAGAGACAAGAGAAGGATTCTCCAGATGCTTGAAGGATAAGTCTATATTTTTATTCCCATTTTATAGGTGAGAAAAAGAGGCTCAGACATGCTAATTATTCTCTCAAGTTCTCAAGGGTAGTAAGTGATGGAGCCAGGACTTCAAGCCCAGCCCATCTGGCCTCCGAGTAATATACTCTACCATTGTCCCCGCTTGGACATTCCTCTTTGGCTAGTTGCTAGACCCACTCTAACTTTGTTTTCCCTATTTCAAATGGACTCAGTGGCCTCTAAGGTCCTTTTCAGGCCAAGGAGGCAGAGAGCATAGTTTGAGTTTGCAGTTCTTATAGTAAAGCAGGCATCTCTCTCCTCTGCCTGTAAAGTGACACCCCTGTAAAGTGACAGCGAGGGAATTTAAAAGGCATAAACACAAGACAGCAAAGAGAACAGGGATAGAACATCAATGGAGAGAAGATTTCACATATGTACTGAATACAGAAACTGATTAGAAATTGATGACGTAGGATGGAAGAAAAGGCAGCCTAGAACACATGGGAATGGGGTTACAGCCAGTGTGGAAGCCATCCTGCCATGTCCCATCACAGAGATGTTTGAGACTCAAAGTTGCCAGGTAAGAAGGAGGGTGGGAGGGCAGAATGGGGGTGAAAAGGGAGGGGGTTAAATTGAAGTTTTTATGAGGAGTGCCTCCCTTTCCCTCCATATCCAGTTAGGGAAGGATGTGAGAAGGAAGTGTGTGCTCTCAGGAACTGGAATAAACTACCTGGGAAGGCAAAAGACAGCTCATGTGAGTATTGTGGCCTCCACCTTCTGGTACTGAAACTCTCCCATGGTATTAGTAATTTCCTGCTCACCCTCCAAGGGGGAATCCTGCAAGCCCTATGTCCTCAGAGCTCCCAAGCACCTCTTTCTTATACACAAAATGGACAGCTAAGGATCCTCAGCCATTTGAGGCAAGCCTCCAACACCAAAAGCAAGAGACCAAGAGACAGAAAAACAGATCTTTGAGGAAGCATCTCTAAAAAGCAGAGCCAGACAGAAGTTAAAGTGGTAAAGGCAAATTTTATTCAGTACTATTGCAATTGGGGAAAAGAGTCCCCAGAATAGAACTAGGCTCCATTCCAAATACAGCAAGGACAAGTGCAGATTTATAGCCAAGGAGGAAGGAGGTCAGTGAACAGAAAATTACTAAGGAGGCATCAAGTGTGGGAGAATTCTGGCTGAAACACTCTAAAAGGATTTCTGCTGAAGGCAGTCCAGGTAATCAGATACCCTGGGTAAGGAGCAAGGATTTTTTTTATCAGATTCATGAGTGATCAAGTATCAAGGGTGAGGGATTCTTGCTAAACTAACTTAGCACAAGGCTCTTTGCCAAAATAGAACTTTGCAAGGAAGCACACAGATGGGCCTAAGAAAAAGTTCAGACACCTACATTTTGTCAAGCAAAGAATCTCTGTCAGAAGCTATGATAATTCAGTAAATGGAAAAGCAGAGAGAGGCCAGGCACGATGGCTCATGCCTGTAATCTCAGCACTTTGGGAGTCTAAGGTGGGCAGATCACCTGAGGTCGGAAGTTCAAGACAAGCCTGGCCAACATGGCGAAACCCCATCTCTACCAAAAATACAAAAATTAGCCGGGCATGGTGGTGTATTCCTGTAATCCCAACTAATAGGGAGTCTGAGACATGAGAATGGCTTGAACCCAGAAGGTGGAGGTGAGCCGAGATCACGCCACTGCACTCCAGCCTAGGTGACAGAGCAAGGCTCTGTCTCAAAAAAAAAAGAAAAGGAAAGGAAAGAAAAGCAGAGAGATTCAAGAGGATATTTAATTCAAGAAGCAAGAGACATAAGACATGAAACAAGTACAAAGTATGATGAAAAACAGAACAAGAAAAAAGTTGTTGGAAATTTAAAATAAGATTATTGAAATAAAATTTTCCATAAGGGTTAGAAGACAGTCAAGGAAATTCTCCATAAAGTATATGTGCAAAAACAATTGAGGAAAGAATCCAGTGATTCACCCAAGAAGTCTAAAGAAAAGGCGAGAGAGGAACTTCATCAGAGAGATGTCTTCTGACAGTGATGGGACAGGCATTTCAGACAGAGGGAACAGCATGCACGAAGACACAGAGGCCTGAGAGAGCACGAGCTGTTTAGGAGACTACAAACAGTTCTGTGTAACAGAAGGACAGGATGCCTGAAAGGAAAGGAAAGGCAGTGAGATCTGAGGTAGATCCAGAAAGGTATTGTGAATAACACACAAAAGTGTTGGCCTTTAACCTACAGGCTTGTGAGAGTTTTTTAAACAGAAGAGTAAGATGATCAGGTTCGCAATAAGGAAAGATTCGTCTACAGTCCAAAATATAAGACATGAGCTGTTCCAGTTACCAGTTGCTGAGTGACAAATCACCACAAACAGTGGCTTAAAACAAAACAACAATGGTCTTGGCCAGGCGTGGTGGCTTATGCCTGTAACCCCAGCACATTGGGAGGCTGAGACAGGCAGATCATTTGAGGCCAGGAGTTCGAGACCAGCCTGGCCAACAAGACGAAACCCTGTCTCTACTAGAAATACAAAAATTAGCTGGGTGTGGTGGCGCAGGCCTGTAATCCCAGCTACTCAGGAGGCTGAGGCATGAGAATCGCTTGAATCCAGGAGAGGAAGGCTGCAGTGGACAAAGATTGCACCACTGCACTCCAGCCTGGGCGACAGTGAGACTGTCTGGGGGGCTGTTGCAGGGAGGAGTCTTATTTTTGCTTGCAAATCTGCAATTTGGACAGGTCTTGATGGGGACAGTTGTCTCTGCTCCATGTGGCACCAGCTGAAGAGGTTCAAAGGCTGGGAATGACTCGATGGCTTCAAGGCTGGAATTAAAATAGCCGCTGCAGCTCCTGCCTTACATCCCCTTCAGGAAAAGTGAGAGAACAGCTTTCCCTAAATTCCCAGCAAATGTCTCATTGAGCCTCAGAGCATCTGATTGGGTCTCACATATACATCACTGAGCCAATCACCATTGCCCAGTTAATGCAGTGCAATGACTGGCCCAGCTCAGCCTTGGTCACATGCTGGCCCCTCGCTTGAGCTGGAGAGAAGCCCCATGGTAGCACGGATTGAGAGTGGCAAATGAGAGCATCCCCAAATGATAGGCAGAGGGGAAAACAAGATGGATCCTGGAGGGCAAGCATCAAGCATGTAGGCCTCTTGATCTCCTTGCTACTCCCCTCCCCTTCTGCCTGCTCCTCCATGGAAGGAAGCACCCTGCTCCCATGTCTTGCTGGGTGGAAGGAATGGTAATTCCTGTAACTGGAGAGCTCTGTACTCAGAAGGGCCGTTTACACTCTGCTCAATACGACTGATGAAGCATAAACTAATTAATTCTTAGAGTGGGAGCATCCCTATCAGGTTTCTCCCAAATAGTAATGAATCATTATCAGCTAAAACCTTAACATCTGTTTAATCAATCCACTGCTAGTCACATGCTATTAATGTCAACTGCACTGTTGCCCCAGTACCGGGCAGCCTGGATCCCCAAGTCCCAGAGTCTCATTAGCCTGTGTGGCCAGAGGACTTCGGGCCTGTAAGAGGATGAGAATGTTTTTTTACCAGCACTCGGGTGAGGTTTGTTGGGGGATGGCTCGAGGGCGCAGTGAAACAGTGACCTATTTCCAACTCTTTATAATCGGAAAATCTCGGAGCTGAAGGGAACTTGGAGCCAAATGCTCTTCCAATCTCCTCTTACACACCTCTGCTCATGGTGAGCTCATGATTTCACATGGCAGCACATACCATTTTACACATCTGACTATTAGAATTTCTCAGTCTGTGCCCAATTAATTAGTTAATTATATCCAAATTTGAGACAGCTTGAATGGTTGTGTCCAACGCCAAGGGGTAAAATGAACAGCAAAATAAATCAAGGAATATGACTAGCATGATTAACGTTAGAAAAGTAAGCCATCCCATTCTATAGAGCTACAAATTTGATATGAAGCTTCCTTGTGGCCAAAAGAAAGAGGGAACCACCATTCCTTACGAATCGCAGCATCAGTAAGAAATAAATAAAAGATACACAGATCATTAGACAGATACACAGATAACAAAAAAAAGTTAAAACAACTTGTTACTGAAGTTTGTTTTTCCTGAACGTGTTTATTCATACTGAACCAAAATCTATCTCCCTCTAATTTCTACACATCAATTTAACTCAACAGACATTTAAGAAAGCCCCAGTGACTATCTTATTCCACAGACTCTCAGTGTCTGTGCTGAGCAAGACATCACATGTGCTCTTTGGCGTTCATACTCCCTAACTCATATCCTTTATTCCCTTTGAGACCTTCAGCAAGTTTCTTAACTCGTGAGCTTCTGTTTCCTTGTCATAACATGGAAACAGACAGCCCTACTTTGCAGGGTGGGTGGTACAAATGATATATGAGCTCTGCTCCAGCCCTCAAAGATTGAGTCCTACTGTACCTGTTCGATCTTATCATCAACCACTCCCTTTCATAAACTGTTTGAGGTGAATCTACCTTCCCGGTATATCCCCCAGTTTCCACTTCTCAGTCTCTCTTGCTCAAGCTGCGTCTTCCACTCAGAATGCCTTCCTCCCTACTCCTACTCCTACTCCCACCTCCAATCCATAAATCCTGCCCACCCTTCACAGCCCAACTCCAATGCCAGCTCCTACCGGAAGTCTACTAGGATTCCTACAGCTGCTAATTATATTTACCTTCCCCAAATCCTTTAGCTCATATCTTCACCTCCCTTCAGACTAGTGTATCCACTCAGAAATTCTTTTCTAAATTTAAATTTCCTTTCTAAACTTAAATTTCTCAGGAAGTCTAAATGTTTTCCAAATCTCAATTCCCTGAGAAAAATTGAGAAAACAAGAGAAATATCATAATTTTCCTGTGAGAATTAGAGCTTATCAGTTCAAAGACATTACTGGTTCAAAGGAATTCACTGATGTCGAGCCACTCCCAAAAATAGGAAACGCTGACATCCAGAGTTGAGGATCAAGTCTGACATCAGTCAATCTTACATGTAACTGTCGTCATGTTATTGTTGTGTGTTTGTTGCTCTTTTTGCTGTGATCAATGAGTTATTCTTGCAAATAAAATAATATTAACATGTTCGTATGCATAGTATACTTTACACAAATTCTATGAGTGGTGTTCCAAGAAATAAGTTTTGGAAACAAAAGAGAAGTCCCTAAATTCATAATTTTGATATATGATTCTGCATGGTACTGTTAACCTTGCTAGGAGATCTCGATGTTACATTATTTAAATACTGTCCAGTAATGTTCCCTGGCATTTTCCCATGGTTTAATATCCACTATGGGCTACAGTTCTACTCTACTAACTTCATATTTCTTATTTCTTAAACAAAACTGTAGCTATACATAATAATGAGCAGACAGAATAAAGAATGTTAGTATCTTAAGAATAACTTATGATTTTAAAAATTGCCAAGAATCCCTTGGAGTTCTGATTTTCTTTTCTTTTTCTTTTTCTTTTTTGTTCCAGAATCCTGAAGATTGGTATCACTACATTAAGATACTCCTGCTTTCTATTTTGTATTACAGTTATTCTCTCACTGTCTCAGCAGCTCTAATAGACTGCTGGGTTTGATGACAAGGTTCACACCCAGGCACCTGCTAACCCTCTTACCTCACCTGCACTGCTTAGCATAGACCCTGCAGACGGAAAATCAAGATGGAGTCTCAAGATAGAGCACAGGCATTGGGGTGTGAATGTCAGCTTCATCATACTGTCATTGTCTGGATCTATGAGTGGCTTAAACTCTCTAAACTCTAGCTTTCTCATCTGTAAAATGGGGTAATAACAATGTCTATCTCAAAGGGTTGCAATAAGAATCAAGTGAGATAACGTGTATGAAATACACCCAATACATATGTTATCTTTCTTCCCAATAAAAGCCCAGTGCTAATAGGATGGATGGTTGAACAGATAAATGACTAAACTACATTGCAGAAAATGTCAAGTGCTTCCCATAAACACAGTCCCTACTCCTACCCCCTAGTTCTTATATTCATCAGAGAAAGAGAGTAAGCTAAAACATTTTAGTGAGAGGCAGTGACATTGCCCTAGTTGCAGGGAAAGGAACCATCAAAAGCTAGTGTGCTATCTGTGATGCCGTAGACCCAAAAGAAGCAAGAACAGATCCCGTGTTCTTCAGCAAAACTGTGGAGATCTGTTGTCTTTTAAAGGGCAGGACCATAATCCTGCTAATAGGGACAAATTTTTTCTTCCATATAGGTTTAGATAGTGCTTCTCTAAAAAAGGAAAGAGAAAGAGGGAGGGAAGGAGGGAGAGAGGAAGGAAGGGTAGGGGAAGGAAGGAAGGGAGGGGGAAGGAAGGAAGGAAGCGAGTGAGGAAGGGATGGAGGGAAAAGAAGGAAGGAAAGCTTTTGAGTAGTGGGCTCACTTAACAGGTCACTCTATTAGTCTCCTCGAGCTGCCATAATAAAATAGACTGGGTGACTTAACAACAGAAATTTATTTTCGCACAGTTCTGGAGGCTGAAAGTCCAAGATCAGGATGCCAGCATGGTCAGGAGCGGGATCTCTCCCAGGCTTGCAGATGGCTGCCTTCTCACTGTGTGTTCACATGGTTTTCCTCAGTGCTTGTGCATGAAATTGCGGGAGAAGGGGAGGGTGCAAAGGAGAGAAGGGAGAGAATAAGCTCTCTGATCTTTCTGATATCTCTTCTTATAAGGGCTGGTTTCATCATTAAGGCCTAACACTAGTTACCTCCCAAAGGCCTCTTTACAAATACCATCACAATGGGGGTAGGAATTTGGAAGATACAAACATTTAGTTCTTAATAGTCACCTAGTAAGGAAACTAGCAAGTCAACAATTCTCACTCGTGGGAAAAAGAAATAAGAATTAGTGAACCATGTTTTTTTTCTTTTCCTCATTGGCATGAAACTCACTCATACATACACACTAGCCTTCAAGGCTGGGCCAACTCAGACATGGGATTAGTCAAGACTCTTTCAGCTGCAAGTGACAGGAATCCAGCTCAAAACGACTTTAGCAAATAAAATGTATTGTCTCCAGTAAAGTCCAGGGTAGACCTAAGTTCACTCAGAATTGAATATAGGAGTTCAAACCCTTTCTTCAAGCCTCTTTCTCTCCCTCAACTATCTCTCTCTCTCTCTGTCTCTCCCTCCCCTCCATTTTTCAGCTCTGCTCCCCTCTGTTTTGAATTCATTCTCAGGGATACAGCCTCCCTATGGTGGCTCTTGCCTGGCTTACTTTTCACCAGCTTAGCAAACTCTAAAAAGAGAACTTCTACACTAGTAAAAAAAAAAAATTAAAAATTAAATTTCCTCCAGGCACAGTGGCTCACACCTATAATCCCAGCACTCTGGGAGGCTGAGGCAGGTGGATCACCTGAGGTCAGGAGTTTGATACCAGCCTGGCCAACATAGTGAAACCCCATCTCCACTAAAAATACAAAAATAAGCTGGGTGTGGTGGCATGTGCCTGTAATCCCAGCTACTTGGGAGGCTGGGGCAGGAGAATCTCTAGAACCTGGGAGGCAGTGGTTGCAGTGAGCAGAGATCACACCACTACACTCCAGCCTGGGTGACAGAGCGAGACTGTCTCCAAAAAAAAAAAAAAGAAATTTCTTTAAAATACTTTTTACAGTAGCACCAAAACATATAAAATACTTTGGAATGAACATAATAAAAGACCTCTTCACTGAAAACAATGAATTATTACTGAGAGGAGTTAAAGAATAACTAAATAAATGGATAGATATACCATATACATGGAATGGAAGACTCAGTATGGATAAGATGTCAGCTTTCTCCAAATTAATCTATAGATTCAATCAGATACCAACCAAAATCCCAGAATGCTTTCTGAGAATCTAATGTTTATATAAAAATATAAAGAACCTACATGGTAAACAATTTTTTAAAAATTAGGAAATGTATACTGTCTGGCTTGGAGACTTACTATAAAACTATAGAAATCAGGTCAGTGTGATATTTGATTAAGAACATACAAATAAATAAACAGCAGAGAATGAAAAGTTCTAGAACAAGGAAAATAATCTATAGTGATAAATATCAGAATAGTGGTTGCCTCTGGTGTATGTGTGTTAGGGAGAGGGTGGCATTGACCAGGAAGAGACAGAGGGAACTTTCTGGCATAAACTGGAAAAGAGCCTGTTGGAATTTCTTAGGGTGATGAAAAGGATCTATATCTTTGTTTGGGTGTTGATTACACAAATGTGTATACATTTGTCAAAATTCTTTACACGGAACTCTAAAGATCTATACATTTTCACACTATGTAAATCACATCCCAATTCAAGAAAAAGAGAGCTTCTCTGTTATAAAGGTCTAATAAGTTCTCAGAGATGCCTATCATTGCACAGATGTGGGTCACATGTTCATCCCTGGACCAGTCACTAGCCAGAACGGGATAATCTGATTAGACAGGACTGATTTACCTGTCTGTCCCTGGAACTCAGACATGGAGTCAGCACCCAAGAACCACATGGCCTGGAATAAGGTACTTCTGCAAAGTAAAGCCAGGGTGTTCATCCCTTCATGTTCAAGGGGTTATGGAAAGGAAAAGATGGGTGGAGGGAGGGGAAGCTGGAGGTGATGTGAATGTGTTTTACCTTTCCTCTCCAAGCTGTGTTTCACCTCAAGGAGATACATTAGATAGATTGAGAGGAAAGCCAAGGCCATCCGAAAAACTAAAGACCTACTTCCCATGTCTATTAGCAAGAGTCTGTGAGCCTACAAGAAAATCCACTCATTTCCAACATGGCAGAGGGTGATGGCACAGTAAGACTGCAGGAAATGGTCTGATGAATGAGCCTGTGGCAGCACCCCTGACCCTCCATCAGGAGAGCACATCAAAGTACCAAGAGGACAGAGGCCTGAGATCAAAGAAAGAGGCCACCATGGGTAGGAACCTTGTGACTTGAGGACAAATGGCCAAAATCATAGATGCCACCAGCAGCCCATCACCAAGGAGGCAAGAAGAGGCCTGTCATGCCTTAGTGGCCTACAGTCCAGGGAGCAGACTGGACTAGCCCTGGATATGGAGGACACAGTGTGGACCTGAGGCTCCTCTCCCTGCTGTCTTGTGGTTACAGTAAACCCCTTAAATACCCAGGCACCATCTTGGAGAGGAGAAGGCAAAAGAGCAAAACTCTGAAAGATGGAGCTTTTACTTAAAGAGTCATTGAGTAATCCCAAAAGAACTATTTGAGCCAGCCCTGATACGAAGATAGAAAAGCCAGAGTGGAAACATTTTCACTGAAAGAGACTAGATAGACTGGTAGACACTCAATTGGCATGTTAAGTGTCCCTGTTCGCCTATAGAAAAGGGGCTCAAAAGGAAAGTATGATAAACTAGAGGGGCTACATGTTGCAGCATATTAAAGTATGGTTTGAGGAAATTTGCAGTTCTACCATTTAATTTTAGTGTCAGAAAAGCAAAATTCCATGCCCAGGGTCATACAGGTGGTAAAAGACGTGAACAAATGTGAACCTGAAAGAGCAAATCCTTAAAGATAGATCCCAAGAGGCTAACTGGGCCTAAATTTAAAACAGAGCCACGTGGCCATTTGCTGACTAGAGGTCACATACTCTGAGTTCTCCAAAAACCCACAACTTTTTAACTTTCTGAGTTCACCTGAACTCAGAAACAATCGGAGCTCACCTACCTCAGCTAACCAGGGCTCAGCTGTATTGACCAATAGAACTCAGCTGTGTCAACCAATTAGAACTAAGCAAGTTTGAATTCTTCATTTGCATAAAGAAACCTGGGCTGGAAATTTTGCTATAAAACTCAAACCCTGGCCTGGTGCAGTGGCTCACACCTATAGTCCCAGCACTTTGGGAGGCTGAGGCAGATGGATCGCTTGAGCTCAGCAGTTTGAGACCAGCCTGGGCAATATAGCAACACCCCATCTCTACAAAAAATACAAAAATTAACCAGGCATGGTGACATGTGCCTGTAGTCCCAGCTACTCAGGAGGCTGAAGTGGGAGAATCACTTGAGCACAGAAGTTCGAGGCTGCAGTGAGCCATGATCACGCCACTGCACTCCAGCCCAGGTGACAGAGCAAGACCTTGTCTCAAAAGAAAAAACAAATGCTCAGACCCTCTCTTTGTTCTCTGGAATGCACCTTCGTTTTACACTGAAGGCTGCTTCTCCCTGGTTTGCAAACGTTGACTGGAATAAAGTCTCTTTCCTCCAAATTTATTTTCAGATAACTTTTATTCACAGAGACTAAGCTGAGAACTGAACAAGATCTGCCATGAGCCAGAGATGCATTCTTTCTGCTGCCCTATGCCACCCCCCTGCCTCCCTGCCTTCCAGGGTCTGTCCTGCTGCATCTGGAACCTTCTCCCACTGTCTCCACCAACCCTGACATGCCTTTCTCTTGAGGGATGTTTCTGCCTAAACTAGACCCTTCCTATTTCCCACCTGCTAAGGGGATAACGACTCTATGGGCAGACAGCCCCAGCACTAACGCTTAATGGTAGCTCTAGGAACTGCAGACTCCCAGGCTTCCTATTTCCTCTCATCAGCATTACAAATCCCACTCCAAATGTTCCCCCATGGCCTGAGAGAGCACAGTCAAACTCCTCAGCCTACATGCCTGACAACTCCCCATCTGGCTCCAACCTGCCTTTTATCTTGCCCCCACTGTTCTTACACATTCTCAGTGACAATCAGCTCTGCCTACTCTTTGTCCTTGAGCCCTTTGTGTGCACTCTCATCTCAGCACCTTTGCTTGCCACCCTCCTTGCTTCCAGGACATCCCCTCATACTGGAGTCCCTCCTCAAGACTATTCCACCCAACAATGGCCTCTCCCTCCTGTAACTCCTCCAAAACTTTTTCAATGGGGAATTGTAGCTGGGTGGAGACTTTTGAAAAACAGACAGATCTGGGTTCAAATCTCGCCTATTAGTTGCTTGACCTTGGCAAGTCACATTATCTCTTGATGCCTCAGTTTGACTCATCCACAAAATTGGAATGGAATTGCTTACCTCATAGAGTAGCCCTAGGAGTTAAATGAGATATAAATGCATGCCAAGTGCCTAGTGGGGCCTGGCACATAGTAAGTGCCCTTTTGCTACATCCTGAGGATCTTCCTAATTTTATTCTCTTACCCACAAAGGGATAACAATGTAAATATGTCTTACCTTGTCCACTTTAGAAGGGTGACTTCTATCAGGAAAATGGCACAAGATAGCAAGGATGGCTTTTAAAGTGCATACCTGGGCCAGGCATGGCGGCTCATGCCTGTAATCCCAGCACTTTGGAGGTCAAGGCAGAAGGATCACTTGAGCTCAGGACTTCAAGACAAGCCTGGGCAACATGGCAAAACCCCATCTGATATGGCTTGGCTCTGTGTCCCCACCCAAATCTCATCTTGAATTGTACTCCCCTAATTTCCACATGTTGTGGGAGGGACCTGGTGGGAGATAATTTGAATCATGGGGGTGGTTTCCCCCATACTATTCTTGTGGTAGTGGATAAGTCTCATGAGATCTGATGCTTTTATCAGGGGTTTCTGCTTTTGTGTCTTCTTCATTTTCTCTTGCCACCACCATGTAAAAAGTGCCTTTCACCTCCTGCCATGAGTCTAAGGCCTCCCCAGCAATGTGGAACTGTAAGTCCAATTAAACCTTTTTTTCTTCAGTCTCGTCTCAGGTATGTCTTTATCAGCAGCATGAAAATGGACTAATACACCATCTCTACCAAAATAATTAATTAATTAATTAATTAACCTAGCATGGTGGGGCACATCTATAGTCCCAGCTACTTGGGATGCTGGGGTGGGAGGATCACCTGAGCCCAGGAGGCCGAGGCTGCAGCGAGCCACAATTGCACCACTGCACTCCAGCCTGAGCAATGGAGTGAGATACTGCCTCAAAAAAAAAACGGAATGTGCATGCTTGGAGTCACACAAATCTAGATTTGAATTCTGACTAGCTCCGTCAGCTGTGTGCCATTGGTCATATTGCTTAATCTCTCTGAGTCTCAGTTTTGTCATAGGTAAAAAGAAGGTAATAATAATTACTAATTCAAAGGATTGTTTTGAAGATTAAATGCAAGGGCAGTTGGTTTAATAGAGTCTGAAATTAGCAAGCCACACATAAAAAACAATTTTATTTCTTTTTTTTTTTTTTTTTTTTTTGTGAGTCAGAGTCTTGCTCTGTCACCCAGGCTGGAGTAAAGTGGTGCAATCTCACCTCACTGCAACCTCTGCCTACTAGGTTCAAGTGATTCTTCTGCCTCAGCCTCCTGAGTAGCTGGGACTACAGGTGTGTGCCACCACACCCAGCTAATTTTTGCTTTTTAGTAGAGATGGGGTTTCACCTTGTTGGTCAGGCTGGTCTTGAACTTCTGACCTCAGGTGATTCACCTGCCTTGGCCTCCCAAAGTGCTGAGATTACAGGCGTGAGCCACCACACCCAGCTAACTTTATTCCTTTCTAAGCACTGCCTTCATCCATGCCCTGATGAATCTTGATTTCCTAGTTTGTAATCACATTGCAGGAAGAGCCCCCAGACTCCTTTCATTTTCAATATTTAAAATGAAAGTCTAGTCTGGCTTCAAATTGCAATTGCATGTCTAATTTCATCCTCCTCTTCCTCTCAGGCCAGCCTGGAATCAGCCTGAGAATCTTGCCATGAGGGAGGGGCCACAGCCTGCTCTTTTGCCCTTCCAGGCACATAGTAGGGTTATAGTTTTCTGTCCCCTTGAAGTTAGGTGGAGCCATGGGACTTGATAATAGTAAATGCCATGTGAGCATGTATTCCACTAGGATGAGTAGAGACAGACATGAAGAATGAACAAGAAAGATTTCTGTATTGTCATAAGGCACAAAAATTTGGGGACTTTGTTACTTAGCATAGTCTAGCCTATCTAACTGATATGGGTGGCTAATGGCTCTCATGTGGCCCTGTCTTTGCTGTCTCTGGTAAGAATCTCTATGTGGTAGCTCCTAAACTGATCTTGGAATCCACGCATGAGCCCTTCAGGAGACCCCACAGGCAGGGAGGCTGTCCACTAGACATCCCCAAGAGTGGCTCAACTTGACCTCCTCTGATTCCCCTCAACCACCACCCTTGGAGAACCATCTCAAAGGCTTTTGCTGTTAAGCTTTCTTCCCCTGCAGCCAGCTGCTTGGATGGATCTTGACAGAATGGCTCAATCCTGGCCATATATTTGTCCGTTTTCACACTGCTAATAAAGACATATCAAAACTGGGCAATTTACAAAAGAAAGAGGTTTAATTGGATTTACAGTTCCACGTGGCTGGGGAAGCCTCAAAACCGTGGAGGAAGGCAAGGAGGAGCAAGTCCCATCTTACATGGATGGTAGCAGGCAAAGAGAAAATGAGGAAGACGCAAAAGCAAAAACCCCTGATAAAAGCATCAGATCTTGTGAGACTTATTCACTACCACGAGAACAGTATGGGGGAAACCACCCCCAAGATTCAATTATTTCCCCCCGGGTCCCTCCCACAACATATGGGAATTATAGAAGTACAATTCAAGATGAGATTTGGGTGGGGACACAGAGCCAAACCATATCATTCTGCCCCTGGCCCCTGCCAAATCTCATGTCCTCACATTTCAAAACCAATCATCCCTTCCCAACAGTCCCCTAAAGTCTTAACTCATCTCAGCATTAACTCAAAAGTCCACAGTCCAGAGTCTCATCCAAGACAAGGTAAGTCCCTTCTGCCTATGAGTCTGTAAATCAAAAGCAAGTTAGTTACTTCCTAGGTACAATGGGGGTACAGGCATTGGGAAAATCCAGCCATTTCAAATGGGAGAAATTGGCCAAAATGAAGGGGCTACAGGACCCATGCAAGTCCAAAATCCAGCAGGGCAGTCAAATCTTAAAGCTCCAAAATGATCTCCTTTGACTCCTTGTCTCACATCCAGTTCACACTGATGCAAGAGGTGGCCTCCCATGGCCTTGGGCAGCTCCGCACCTGTGACTCTGCAGGGTATAGCCACACTTCTGACTGCTTTCACAGGCTGGCATTGAGTGTCTGTGGCTTTTCCAGGTGCACAGTGCAAGCCATTAGTGGATCTACCATTCTGGGGTCTGGAGAACAGTGGCCCTCTTCTCACAGCTCCACTAGGCAGTGTACCAGTGCAGACTCTGTGTGGGGGCTCTGACCCCACATTTCCCTTCTGCACTGCCTTAGCAGAAGTTCTCCATGAGAGCATCATCCCTGCAGCAAACTTCTGCCTGGACATCCAAGCATTTCCATACATCTTCTGAAATCTAGGCAGAGGTTCCCAAACCTCAATTCTTGATTGCTGTGCACTCGCAGGCTCAAGACCCCATGGAAGCTGCCAAGGCTTGAGGCTTGCATCCTCTAAAGCCATGGCCCAAGCTCTACATTCATCCCTTTCAGCCACGACTGGAATGGCTGGGATGCAGGGCACCAAATCCCTAGGCTGCACACAGCACAGGGACCCTGGACCCAGCCCGCAAGACCACTTTTTCCTCCTAGGCCTCCTGACCTGTGACAGGAGGGGCTGCTGTGAAGACCTCTGACATGCCCTGAAGACATTTCCCCATTGTCTTGGAGATTAACATTCCACTCCTTGTTACTTATGCAAATTTATACAGCCAGCTTGAATTTCTCCTCAGGAAATAGGTTTTTCTTTTCTATCAAATTGTCAGGCCGTGAATTTTCTGAACTTTTATGCTCTGCTTCCCTTATAAAACTGAATGCTTTTAACAACATCCAGGTCACCTCTTGAACACTTTGCTGCTTAGAAATTTCTTCTGCCAGGTACCCTAAATCATCTCTCTCAAGTTCAAAATCCCACAAATTTCTAGGGCCAGGGTAAAATGCCACTAGTCTCTTTGCTAAAACATAATAAGAGTCACCTCTGCTCCAGTTCCCAACTAGTACCTCATCTCTATCTGAGACCACCTCAACCTGGATTACATTGTCCATATTCCTGTCAGCATTTTAGGCAAAGCCATTCAACGAGTCTGTAGGAAGTTCCAAACTTTCCCACATTTTCCTGTCTTCTTCTGAGCCCTCCAAACTATTCCAACCCCTGCCTGTTACCCAATTCCAAAGTTGCTTCCACATTCTCAGGTATCTTTTCAGCAGTGCCCCACTCTACTGGTACCAATTTACTGTATTAGTCTGTTTTCATGCTGCTGATAAAGACATATTCAAGACTGGGCAATTTACAAAAGAAAGAAGTTTAATTGGACTTACAGTTCCATGTGACTTGGGAAGCCTCACAGTTGTGCAGAAAGCAAGGAGGAGTAAGTCCCACCTTACGTGAATGGCAGAGCAGGCAAAGAGAGCATGAGAAAGATGCAAAAGTGGAAACCCCTGATAAAACCACCAGATCTCATGAGACTTATTCACTACCACGAGAACAATATGGGGGAAACTGCCCCAATGCTTCAATTATCTCCAACTGGGTCCCTCCCACAACATGTGGGAATTATGGGAGTACAATTCAAAATGAGATTTGGGTGGGGACACAGAGCCAAACCATATCAGGCTGCATTCCAAAATGTCCACTCAACCCATAAATAACTCATGCAGTTTTACTGGGCCAAACTGCTCAACCCTCTCTCCAACCCAGTGTCTTTGTTTAGATTCCTATTGTTGCTATTATAAATTACCACAAATTTAATTGCTTGTAACAACACACAAAAAAAGCTATCCTACAGTTCTCTATGTCAGAGTTGAGCAAGATCTCACAGGGCTAAAATCAAGGTATTGGCTGGGCTGTGTTTTCTTCTAGAGGCTTTAGGAGAGAATCTGTGTATTTCTGTTCCCAGCTTCAAGAGGCCACCTGCATTCTTTGGATCATGGCACCCTCTTTCATCTTCAAAGCCAAGCCCACAATGGCAAGTGGAACCCTTTTAACACTTCTAATTTCTCCTGCCTGTCTTCCCTTATCCGAGTCATCCTATCTCTGATGGCAGCCAAGAAACTTTCTCAGATTTTAAGGACATGTATGATTAGATTAGGCCCTACTGGATAATCCAGGATAATCCCCTGTCTCAAGGTCCTTAGCCTTAATCATATCTGCAAGGTCCCTTTTGCCATGTAGGGTAACATATCCACAGGTTTCTGGGATTACTACATAGGCATATTTGGGGCTAAGGGAAGCATGGGCTTTTTCTGTTTTGTTTTGTTTAGAGACAGGGTGCCGCCCAGACTGGAGTGCAGTGGCACAATCATAGCTCACTGCAGCCTTGACCTCCTGGGCTCAAGCAATCCTCTTGCTTCAGCCTCCCGAGTAGTGGGGACTATGGGTATGCACCACCACACCCAGCTAATTTTTACTTTTGTAGAGACAAAGTCTTGCTATTTTGCCCAGGTTGGTCTCAAACTCCTGGCTGAAAGCAATCCTACCCGCCTTGGCCTCCCAAAGCACTGGGATTACAGGCATGAACCACCTTGCCCAGCCCAATGGGGGGAATTACCCTACTTACTGCACCCTCTGATTATGTTTTACCCCACTTCAAATAAGCACAAGGAGCAGATCAGCAATTCCCCTGCCTAAGAAGTTAAGCCAAAAAATAAGATGCCCATTCTATTAGTCCACTCTCATGTTGCTATAAAGAACTGCCCAAGACTGGGTAATTTATAAAGAAAAGAAGTTTAATTGACTCACAGTTCCACAGAACTGGGGAGGCCACAGGAAACTTACAGTCATGGTAGAAGGGGAAGCAAACACATCCTTCTTCACAAGGCAGCAGGAAGGAGAAGAATGAGTGCCCAGGAAAGAGGGGAGCCCTTTTTTTTATTTTTTATTTTTAGCTTTCCTTTTTCTTTGTTATGATACTTTAAGTTCTGGGGTATACACATACCCAACAACGTGCAGGTTTGTTACATAGGTATGCATGTGCCATGGTGGTTTGCTGCACCCATCAACCCGACATCTACATTAGGCATTTCTCCTAATGCTATCCCTCCCCTAGCCCCCCACCCAACAACAGGCCCTGTTGTGTGATGTTCCCCTCCCTGTGTCCATGTGTTCTCATTGTTCAACTCCTACTTATGAGTGAGAACATGCGGTGTTTGGTTTTCTGTTCTTGTGTTAGTTTTCTGAGAATGATCATTTCCAGCTTCATCCATGTCCCTGAAAAGGACATGAACTCATCCTTTTTTATGGCTGCATAGTATTCCATGGTGTATATGTGCCATATTTTCTTTATCCAGTCTATCGCTGATGGGCATTTGGGTTGGTTCCAAGTCTTTGCTATTGTGAACAGTGCTGCAATAAACATATGTGTGCATATGTCTTTATAGTAGCATGACTTATAATCCTTTGGGTATATACCCAGTAATGGGATTGCTGGGTCAAATGGTATTTCTAGTTCTAGATCCTTAAGGAATCACCACACTATCTTCCACAATGGTTGAACTAATTAACACCCCCACCAACAGTGTAAAAGCATTCCTATTTCTCCACATCCTCTCCAGCATCTGTTGTTTCCTGACTTTTTAATGATTGCCATTCCAACTGGCATGAGATGGTATCTCATTGTGGTTTTGATTTGCATTTCTCTAATGACCAGTGATGATGAGCTTTTTTTCATATGTTTGTTGGCTGCATAAATGTCTTCTTTTGAGAAGTGTCTGTTCATGTCCTTTGCCCACTTTTTTATGGGGTTGTTTGTTTTTTTTCTTGTAAATTTGTTTAAGTTCTTTGTAGATTCTTTATCAGGTGGACAGATTGCAAAAATTTTCTCCCATTCTGTAGGCTGCTTCTTCACTCTGATGATAGTTTCTTTTGCTGTGCAGAAGCTCTTTAGTATAATTAGATCCCATTTGTCAATTTTGGCTTTTGTTGCCATTGCTTTCAGTATTTTCGTTATGAAGTCTTTGCCCATGCCTATGTCCTGAATGGTATTGCCTAGGTTTTCTTCTAGGGTTTTTATGGTTTTAGGTCTTATGTTTAAGTCTTTAATCCATCTTGAGTTAATTTTTGTATAAGGTGTAAGGAAGGGATCCAGTTTCAGCTTCCTGCATATGGCTAGCCAGTTTTCCCAACGCCATTTATTAAATAGGGAATCCTTTCCCCATTGCTCGTTTCTGTCAGGTTTGTCAAAGATCAGATGGTTGTAGATGTATGGTGTCTTATTTCTGAGGCCTCTGTTCTGTTCCATTGGTCTATATATCTGTTTTGGTGCCAGTACCATGCTGTTTTGGTTACTGTAGCTTTGTAGTATAGTTTGAAGTCAGGTAGCATGATGCCTCCAGCTTTGTTCTTTCTACTTAGGATTGTCTTGGCTATGTGGGCCCTTTTTTGGTTCCATATGAAATTTAAAGTAGTTTTTTCCAGTTCTGTGAAGAAAGTCAATGGTAGCTTGATGGGGATAGCATTGAATCTATAAATTACTTTGGGCAGTATGGCCATTTTCACAATATTGATTTTTCCTATCCACGAGCATGGAATGTTTTTCCATTTGTTTGTGCTCTCTCTTATTTCCTTGAGCAGTGGTTTGTAGTTCTCTTTGAAGAGGTCCTTCACATCCCTTGTAAGTTGTATTCCTAGGCATTTTATTCTCTTTGTAGCAATTGTGAATGAGAGTTCACTCATGATTTGGCTCTCTGTTATTGGTGTATAGGAATGCTTGTGATTTTTTTTTTTTTTTTTTTTTTTTGAGACGGAGTCTCGCGCTGTCGCCCAGGCTGGAGTGCAGTGGCAGGATCTCGGCTCACTGCAAGCTCCGCCTCCCGGGTTCACGCCATTCTCCTGCCTCAGCCTCCCAAGTAGCTGGGACTACAGGCGCCCGCCACTACGCCCGGCTAATTTTTTTGTATTTTTAGTAGAGACGGGGTTTCACCGCTTTAGCCGGGATGGTCTCGATCTCCTGACCTCGTGATCCGCCCGCCTCGGCCTCCCAAAGTGCTGGGATTACAGGCGTGAGCCACCGCGCCCGGCCGCTTGTGATTTTTGCACATTGATTTTGTATTCTGAGACTTTGCTGAAGTTGCTTATCAGCATAAGGAGATTTTGGGCTGAGATGATGGGGTTTTCTAAATATACAATCATGTCATCTGCAAACAGAGACAATTTGACTTCCTCTTTTCTTAATACCCTTTCTTTCTTTCTCTTGGCTGGTTGCCTGGCCAGAACTTCCAATACTATGTTGAATAGGAGTGGTGAGAGAGGGCATCCTTGTCTTGTGCCAGTTTTCAAAGGGAATGCTTCCAGTTTTTGCCCATTCAGTATGATACTGGCTGTGGGTTTGTCATAAATAGCTCTTATTACTTTGAAATACATTCCATCAATAGTTTATTGAGAGTTTTTAGCATCAAGGGGTGTTGAATTTTATCAAAGGCCTTTTCTGTATCTATTGAGATAATGATGTGGTTTTGTCATTGGTTCTGTTTATGTGATGGATTACATTTATTGATTTGTGCATGTTGAACCAGCCTTGCATCCCAGAGATGAAGCCAACTTGATCGTGGTGGATAAGCTTTTTGATGTGCTGCTGGATTTGGTTTGCCAGTATTTTATTGAGGATTTTCGCATCGATGTTCATCAGGGATATTGGCCTGAGAGTTTCTTTTTTTGTTGTATCTCTGCCAGGCTTTGGTATCAGGATGATGCTGGTCTCATAAAATGAGTTAGGGAGGATTCTCTCCTTTCCTATTGTTTGGAATAGTTTCAGAAGGAATGGTACCAACTCCTATTTGTACCTCTGGTAGAATTCGGCTGTGAATCCGTCTGGTCCTGGACTTTTTTTGGTTGCTAGGCTATTAATTGCTGCCTCAATTTCAGAACTTGTTATTGGTCTCTTCAGGGATTCGACTTCTTCCTGGTTTGGCCTTGGGAGGGTGTAGGTGTCCAGGAATTTATCCATTTCTTATAGATTTTCTAGTGTATTTGCGTAGAGGTGTTTATAGTATTCTCTGATGGTAGTTTGTATTTCTGTGGGATTGGTGGTGATATCCCCTTTATCATTTTGTATTGCATCTGTTTGATTCTTCTCTCTTTCTTCTTTATTAGTCTGGCTAGCGGTCTATCTATTTTTTTTATCTTTTCAAAAAACCAGCTCCTGGATTCATTGATTTTTTTGAAGGGTTTTTCATGCCTCTATCTCCTTCAGTTCTGCTCTGATCTTGATTATTTCTTGTCTTCTGCTAGCTTTTGAATTTGTTTGCATTTGCTTCTCTAGTTCTTTTAATCGTGATGTTAGGGTGTCAATTTTAGATCTTTCCTGCTTTCTCTTGTGGGCATTTAGTGCTATAAATTTCCCTCTACACATTGCTTTAAATGTGTCCCAGAGATTCTGGTACATTGTGTCTTTGTTCTCACTGGTTTCAATTTTTTTTTTTTTTTTTTTTGAGACAAAGTCTCAATCTGTCACCCAGGCTGATGTGCAGTGGTGTGATCTCTGCTCACTGCAACCTCTGCCTCCTGGGTTCAAGCAATTATCTTCCTCAGCCTCCCAAGTAGTTGGGATTACAGGCACCTGCCACCACACCTGGCTAATTTTTGTATTTTTAGTAGAGGCGGGGTTTCACCATCTTGGCGAGGCTGGTCTTGAACTCCTGACCTCGTGATCCACCTGCCTCAGCCTCCTGAAGTACAGGCGTGAGCCACTACACCCATCCCCAAAGAACATCTGTATTTCTGCCTTCATTTTGTTATTTACCCAGTAGTCATTCAGGAGCAGGTTGTTCAGTTTCCATGTAGTTGTGCAGTTTTAAGTGAGTTTCTTAATCCTGAGTTCTAGTTTGATTGCAATGTGGTCTGAGAGACTTATGATTTCCATTCTTTTGCATTTGCTGAGGAGTGTTTTACTTCCAATTATGTGGTCAATTTTAGAATGAGTGCGATGTGGTGCTGAGAAGAATGTATATTCTGTTGATCTGAGGTGAAGAGTTCTACAGATGTCTATTAGGTCTGCTTGGTCCAAAGCTGAGTTCAAGTCCTGGATATCCTTGTTAATTTTCTGTCTCGTCGATCTGATGTTGACAGTGGGGTGTTAAAGTCTCCCATTATTATTGTGTGGGAGTCTAAGTCTCTTTGTGCATCTCAAAGAACTTGCTTTATGAATCTGGGTGCTCCTGTATTGGGTGCATATACATTTAGGATAGTTAGCTCTTCTTGTTGCATTAATCCCTTTACCATTATGTAATGCTATTCTTTGTCTCTTTTGATCTTTGTTGGTTTAAAGTCTGTTTTATCAGAGACTACAATTGCAACCTCTGCTTTTTTTTTGCTTTCCATTTGCTTGGTAGATATTCCTCCATCCCTTTATTTTGAGGCTATGAGTGTCTTTGCACATGAGATGGGTCTCCTGAATATAGCACACCAATTGGTCTTGACTCTTTATCCAATTTGCCAGTCTGTGTCTTTTAATTGGGGCAATTAGTCCATTTACATTTAAAGTTAATATTGATATGTGTGAATTTGATCGTGCCATTATGATGCTAACTAGTTATTTTGCCCATTAGTTGATGCAGTTTCTTCATAGCATCAATGATCTTTACAATTTGGTATGTTTTTGCAGTTGCTGGTACCAGTTGTTCCTTTCCATGTTTAGTGCTTCCTTCAGGAACTCTTGTAAGCCAGGAGTGGTGGTGACAAAATCTCTCAGCATTTGCTTGTCTGCAAAGGATTTTATTTCTCCTTTGCTTGTGAAGCATAATTTGGCTAGATATGAAATTCTGGGTTGAAAATTTTCTTTGAGAATATTGAGTATTGGCCCCCAATCTCTTCTGGCTTGTATCTTTCTACCGAGAGATCTGCTGTTAGTCTGATGGGCTTCCCTTTGTGGGTAACCCAACCTTTCTGTCTGTCTGCCCTTAACATTTTTTCCTTCATTTCAACCTTGGTGAATTTGATGATTATGTGTCTTGGGGTTGCTCTTCTCGAGGAGTATCTTCAGGGTGTTCTCTATATTTCCTGAATTTGAATGTTGCCCTGCCTTGCTAGGTTGAGGAAGTTCTCCTGAGTGATATCCTGAAGAGTGTTCTCCAACTTGGTTACACTTTCCCCGTCACTTTCAGGTATACAAATCAAATGTAGATTTGGTCTTTTCACATAGTCCCATATTTTTGGAAACTTTGTTCATTTCTTTTCACTCTTTTTTCTGTAATCTTGTCTTCTCACTTTATTTCATTGAGTTGATCTTCAATCTCGGATATCCTTTCTTCCACTTGATCTATTCGGCTATTGATACTCGTGTATGCTTCAAGAAGTTCTCGTGCTGTGTTTTTCAGCTCCATCAGGTCATTTATCTTCTCTAAACTGGTTACTCTAGTTAGCAATTCCTCTAACCTTTTTTCAAGGTTCTTAGCTTCCTTGCATTGGGTTAGAACATGCTCCTTTAGCTTGGAGGAGTCTGTTATTACCCACCTTCTAAAGTCTACTTCTGTCAATTCATCAAACTCATTCTCCATCCAGTTTTGTTACCTTGTTGGTGAGGAGTTCTGATCCTTTGGAGGAGAAGAGGCATTCTGGTTTTTGGAATTTTCAGCCTTTTTGCACTGGTTTCTCCCCATCTTTGTGGATTTATCTACCTTTGGTCTTTGAAGTCAGTGACCTTCAGCTGGGTTTCTGAGTGGATGTCCTTTTTGTTGATGTTGATACTATTCCTTTCTGTTTGTTAGTTTTCCTTCTAACAGTCAGGCCCCTCTGCTGCAGGTCTGCTGGAGTTTGCTGGATGTCCACTCCAGACCCTGTTTGCCTGGGTATCACCAGTGGAGGCTGCAGAACAGCAAACATTGCTGCCTATTCCTTCCCCTGGAAACTTCATCCCAGAGGAGCACCCGCCAGATGCCAGCCAGAGCTCTCCTGTATGAGGTGTCTTTTGGCCCCTACTGGGAGGTGTCTCCTAGTCAGTATACACAGGGGTCAGGGACCCACTTGGGGAGGCAGTCTGTCCCTATCAGAGCTCGAACGCTGTGCTGGGAGATGTGCTTCTGTCTTCAGAGCTGCCAGGCAGGGACGTTTAAGTCTGCTGAAGCTGCGCCCACAACCGCCCCTTCCCCCAGGTGCTCTGTCCCAGGGAGGTGGGGGTTTTATCTATAAGTCCCTGACTGGGGCTACTGCCTTTTATTCAGAGATGCCCTGCCCAGAGAGGAGGGAATCTAGAGAGGCAGTCTGGCCACAGCAGCCTTGCTGAGCTGCGGTGGGCTCCGCCCAGTTCAAACTTCCTGGCGGTTTTTATTTACACTGTGAGGGTAAAACCACCTACTCAAGCCTCAGCAATGGTGGTCGCCCCTCCCCCCACCAAGCTCCAGCATCCCAGGTCAAGCTCAGGCTTCTTTGCTGGCAGCAAGAATTTCAAGCCAGTGGATCTTAGCTTTCTGGACTCCGTTGGGGTGGGACCCGCCAAGCCAGACCACTTGGCTCCCTGGCTTCAGCCCCCTTTCCGGGGGAGTAAATGGTTCTGTCTCGCTGGTGTTCCAAGTGCCACTGGGGTATGAAAAAAAAGACTCCTGCGGCTAGCTCAGTGTCTGCCCAAACGGCCTCCCAGTTTTGTGCTGGAAACCCAGGGCCCTGGTGGTGTAGGTACCAGAGGGAATCTCCTGGTCTGCAGGTTGCGAAGACCATGGGAAAAGCACAGTATCTGGGCCGGAGTACATGATACAGTCCCTAATGGCTTCCCTTGGCTGGGAGAGGGAGTGCCCCAACCCCTTGCACTTCCCAGGTGAGGCGACACCCCATTCTGCTTTGGCTTGCCCTTCTTGGGCTGCACCCACTGTCCAACCAGTCCCAATGAGATGAGCAAGGTACCTCAGTTGGAAATGCAGAAATCACTCACCTTCTGCCTCAGTCTCACTGGGAGCTGAAGACCAGAGCTGATCCTATTTGGCCATCTTGCCAGCAAGGGGAAGCCCTTTATAAAACCAGCAGATCTCATGAGAACTAACTCACTATTATGAGAACAGTATGGGGGAAACTGCCCCCATGATTCAATTATCTCCACTTGGTCCCTCCCATGACTTGTCATGTGGGGATTATGGAAAATACAATTCAAGATAAGATTTGGGTGGGGACACAGCCAAACCATATCACCAATCTTCATCAGCTCCTCCACATCTCTATGAGTAATTCTCTTAGAACCCTTTACATGGAGTGGAGGACAAACTCCCCTCTAACCTCTCCCATGAGAAATCAGAGGAGCCACAATCACCATCCTCCAAGGACTCCCTAATCTCTTGAGATAAATTCTTTGAATATCTAAACCAGCACTGTCCAATGAAATATAATGCAAGATACATATGGAATTTTAAATTTTAGTCATATTTAGTCATAATAAAGCAAGTAATATGACTATTGGTTGAATTAATTTTAATACAATATTTTATTTAACTCAGTTATCTCCAAAATATTGCAACATGTACTCAATATAAAAAATTATTAATGAGATAACTTCACACTATTTTATTGCATAAATCTTCACCATCCATTTTGTATTTTACATTTACAGCACTTCTCAGTCTGGACTAGTCACATTTCAAATGCTCAACAGCCACCTGAGGCTAGTGGCTACCATTATTGGACAGTGCCAGAAATACACTTTCATCTGTTAGGCTGGGACTATGTGGGCTTCACACAGGGCTGAGCTTCAGTGATAGCTGGAGGTAGAAGAACCCATTCAGTAGCTTCTGGGGGGTTGCCTGCACCTCTTTGTTTTGAGTATTCTTTTTTTTTTTTTTTTGAGATGGAGTCTCGCTGTCACCCAGGCTGGAGTGCGGTAGTGCAGTGTCGCTATCTCGGCTCACTGCAAGCTCTGCCTCCTGGGTAATGCCATTCTCCTGCCTCAGCCTCCTGAGTAGCTAAGACTACAGGCGCCTGCCACCATGCCCGGCTAATTTTTTGTATTTTTAGTAGAGATGGGATTTCACCGTGTTAGCCAGGATGGTCTCGATCTCCTCACCTTGTGATCTGCCCACCTCAGCCTCCCAAAGTGCTGGGATTGCAGGTGTGAGCCACTGCGCCTGGCTGTTTTGAGTATTCTTTATGACACAAGTGCATTCTGCCTCTTGTCTCTACCTTTACTTCCTGATGATCCATTCTGAGGCAAGGGGAATTCACTATGCTTTTAAACATGTGAAGTGCTCAGCTCAGTGCTTAGCTCATAGTCCATATTCAATAAATACTATTATCCCACCTAATGCCAAGAATAGGGACAGACATATGGTAGGTGCCCCGAAAGAACTCGTTGAGCGAATTGGCTTTCTTAGTCTGCAAGTAGAACTTCCCAAGTGCCATCAAGTTATCCCAACACGAGGTGCAGGGCCAGGCACAAAACAGGACTCAATGAGCATATCCACCCTACAGTGCCTGGTCCTGGGTGCCAACCACAGCAGGTGCTCAACAAGAATACACTTGCACTTCACAACAAAGTGGAAAGGAGCATTCAGTGTAGAAATGGAAACTAGACTCCCTTCCTCAAAGCACAAACCTATAGCCAATTAAGGAATTTATTTTTTTTTTTATACTTTAAGTTTTAGGGTACATGTGCACATTGTGCAGGTTAGTTACATATGTATACATGTGCCATGATGGTGCGTTGCACCCACTAACTCGTCATCTAGCATTAGGTATATCTCCCAATGCCACCCCTCCCCCCTCCCCCCACCCCACCACAGTCCCCAGAGTGTGATATTCCCCTTCCTGTGACCATGTGATCTCATTGTTCAATTCCCACCTATGAGTGAGAATATGCGGTGTTTGGTTTTTTGTTCTTGCGATAGTTTACTGAGAATGATGGTTTCCAATTTCATCCATGTCCCTACAAAGGACATGAACTCATCATTTTTTATGGCTGCATAGTATTCCACGGTGTATATGTGCCACATTTTCTTAATCCAGTCTATCATTGTTGGACATTTGGGTTGGTTCCAAGTCTTTGCTATTGTGAATAATGCCGCAATAAACATACGTGTGCATGTGTCTTTATAGCAGCATGATTTATAGTCATTTGGGTATATACCCAGTAATGGGATGGCTGGGTCAAATGGTATTTCTAGTTCTAGATCCCTGAGGAATCGCCACACTGACTTCCACAATGGTTGAACTAGTTTACAGTCCCACCAACAGTATAAAAGTGTTCCTATTTCTCCACATCCTCTCCAGCACCTGTTGTTTCCTGACTTTTTAATGATTGCCATTCTAACTGGTGTGAGATGGTATCTCATTGTGGTTTTGATTTGCATTTCTCTGATGGCCAGTGATGGTGAGCATTTTTTCATGTGTTTTTTGGCTGCATAAATGTCTTCTTTTGAGAAGTGTCTGTTCATGTCCTTCGCCCACTTTTTGATGGGGTTGTTTGTTTTTTTCTTGTAAATTTGTTTGAGTTCATTGTAGATTCTGGATATTAGCCCTTTGTCAGATGAGTAGGTTGCGAAAATTTTCTCCCATTCTGTAGGTTGCCTGTTCACTGTGATGGTAGTTTCTTTTGCTGTGCAGAAGCTCTTTAGTTTAATTAGATCCCATTTGTCAATTTTGGCTTTTGTTGCCATTGCTTTTGGTGTTTTAGACATGAAGTCCTTGCCCACGCCTATGTCCTGAATGGTAATGCCTAGGTTTTCTTCTAGGGTTTTTATGGTTTTAGGTCTAACGTTTAAATCTTTAATTCATCTTGAATTGATTTTTGTATAAGGTGTAAGGAAGGGATCCAGTTTCAGCTTTCTACATATGGCTAGCCAGTTTTCCCAGCACCATTTATTAAATAGGGAATCCTTTCCCCATTGCTTGTTTTTCTCAGGTTTGTCAAAGATCAGATAGTTGTAGGTATGCGGCATTATTTCTGAGGGCTCTGTTCTGTTCCATTGATCTATATCTCTGTTTTGGTACCAGTACCATGCTGTTTTGGTTACTGTAGCCTTGTAGTATAGTTTGAAGTCAGGTAGTGTGATGCCTCCAGCTTTGTTCTTTTGGCTTAGGATTGACTTGGCGATGCGGGCTCTTTTTTGGTTCCATATGAACTTTAAAGTAGTTTTTTCCAATTCTGTGAAGAAAGTCATTGGTAGCTTGATGGGGATGGCATTGAATCTGTAAATTACCTTGGGCAGTATGGCCATTTTCACGATATTGATTCTTCCTACCCATGAGCATGGAATGTTCTTCCATTTGTTTGTATCCTCTTTTATTTCATTGAGCAGTGGTTTGTAGTTCTCCTTGAAGAGGTCCTTCACATCCCTTGTAAGTTGGATTCCTAGGTATTTTATTCTCTTTGAAGCAATTGTGAATGGGAGTTCACTCATGATTTGGCTCTCTGTTTGTCTGTTGTTGGTGTATAAGAATGCTTGTGATTTTTGTACATTGATTTTGTATCCTGAGACTTTGCTGAAGTTGCTTATCAGCTTAAGGAGATTTTGGGCTGAGATGATGGGGTTTTCTAGATAAACAATCATGTCGTCTGCAAACAGGGACAATTTGACTTCCTCTTTTCCTAATTGAATACCCTTTATTTCCTTCTGCTGCCTGATTGCCCTGGCCAGAACTTCCAACACTATGTTGAATAGGAGCGGTGAGAGAGGGCATCCCTGTCTTGTGCCAGTTTTCAAAGGGAATGCTTCCAGTTTTTGCCCATTCAGTATGATATTGGCTGTGGGTTTGTCATAGATAGCTCTTATTATTTTGAAATACGTCCCATCAATACCTAATTTATTGAGAGTTTTTAGCATGAAGGGTTGTTGAATTTTGTCAAAGGCTTTTTCTGCATCTATTGAGATAATCATGTGGTTTTTGTCTTTGGCTCTGTTTATATGCTGGATTACATTTATTGATTTGCGTATATTGAACCAGCCTTGCATCCCAGGGATGAAGCCCACTTGATCATGGTGGATAAGCTTTTTGATGTGCTGCTGGATTCGGTTTGCCAGTATTTTATTGAGGATATTTGCATCAATGTTCATCAAGGATATTGGTCTAAAATTCTCTTTTTTGGTTGTGTCTCTGCCCGGCTTTGGTATCAGAACGATGCTGGCCTCATAAAATGAGTTAGGGAGGATTCCCTCTTTTTCTATTGATTGGAATAGTTTCAGAAGGAATGGTACCAGTTCCTCCTTGTACCTCTGGTAGAATTCGGCTGTGAATCCATCTGGTCCTGGACTCTTTTTGGTTGGTAAACTATTGATTATTGCCACAATTTCAGCTCCTGTTATTGGTCTATTCAGAGATTCAACTTCTTCCTGGTTTAGTCTTGGGAGAGTGTATGTGTCAAGGAATGTATCCATTTCTTCTAGATTTTCTAGTTTATTTGCGTAGAGGTGTTTGTAGTATTCTCTGATGGTAGTCTGTATTTCTGTGGGATCGGTGGTGATATCCCCTTTATCATTTTTTATTGTGTCTATTTGATTCTCCTCTCTTTTTTTCTTTATTAGTCTTGCTAGCGGTCTATCAATTTTGTTGATCCTTTCAAAAAACCAGCTCCTGGATTCATTGATTTTTTGAAGGGTTTTTGTGTCTCTATTTCCTTCAGTTCTGCTCTGATTTTAGTTATTTCTTGCCTTCTGCTAGCTTTTGAATGTGTTTGCTCTTGCTTTTCTAGTTCTTTTAATTGTGATGTTAGGGTGTCAATTTTGGATCTTTCCTGCTTTCTCTTGTGGGCATTTAGTGCTATAAATTTCCCTCTACACACTGCTTTGAATGCGTCCCAGAGATTCTGGTATGTTGTGTCTTTGTTCTCGTTGGTTTCAAAGAACATCTTTATTTCTGCCTTCATTTCGTTATGTACCCAGTAGTCATTCAGGAGCAGGTTGTTCAGTTTCCATGTAGTTGAGCGGCTTTGAGTGAGATTCTTAATCCTGAGTTCTAGTTTGATTGCACTGTGGTCTGAGAGATAGTTTGTTATAATTTCTGTTCTTTTACATTTGCTGAGGAGAGCTTTACTTCCAACTATGTGGTCAATTTTGGAATAGGTGTGGTGTGGTGCTGAAAAAAACGTATATTCTGTTGATTTGGGGTGGAGAGTTCTGTAGATGTCTATTAGGTCCGCTTGGTGCAGAGATGAGTTCAATTCCTGGGTATCCTTGTTGACTTTCTGTCTCGTTGATCTGTCTAATGTTGACAGTGGGGTGTTAAAGTCTCCCATTATTAATGTGTGGGAGTCTAAGTCTCTTTGTAGGTCACTCAGGACTTGCTTTATGAATCTGGGTGCTCCTGTATTGGGTGCATATATATTTAGGATAGTTAGCTCCTCTTGTTGAATTGATCCCTTTACCATTATGTAATGGCCTTCTTTGTCTCTTTTGATCTTTGTTGGTTTAAAGTCTGTTTTATCAGAGACTAGGATTGCAACCCCTGCCTTTTTTTGTTTTCCATTTGCTTGGTAGATCTTCCTCCATCCTTTTATTTTCAGCCTATGTGTGTCTCTCCACGTGAGATGGGTTTCCTGAATACAGCACACTGATGGGTCTTGACTCTTTATCCAATTTGCCAGTCTGTGTCTTTTAATTGGAGAATTTAGTCCATTTACATTTAAAGTTAATATTGTTATGTGTGAATTTGATCCTGTCATTATGATGTTAGCTGGTGATTTTGCTCGTTAGTTGATGCAGTTTCTTCCTAGTCTCGATGGTCTTTACATTTTAGCATGATTTTGCAGCGGCTGGTACCGGTTGTTCCTTTCCATGTTTAGCGCTTCCTTCAGGAGCTCTTTTAGGGCAGGCCTGGTGGTGACAAAATCTCTCAGCATTTGCTTGTCTGTAAAGTATTTTATTTCTCCTTCACTTATGAAGCTTAGTTTGGCTGGATATGAAATTCTGGGTTGAAAATTCTTTTCTTTAAGAATGTTGAATATTGGCCCCCACTCTCTTCTGGCTTGTAGGGTTTCTGCCGAGAGATCCGCTGTTAGTCTGATGGGCTTCCCTTTGAGGGTAACCCGACCTTTCTCTCTGGCTGCCCTTAACATTTTTTCCTTCATTTCAACTTTGGTGAATCTGACAATTATGTGTCTTGGAGTTGCTCTTCTCGAGGAGTATCTTTGTGGCATTCTCTGTATTTCCTGAATCTGAACGTTGGCCTGCCTTGCTAGATTGGGGAAGTTCTCCTGGATAATATCCTGCAGAGTGTTTTCCAACTTGGTTCCATTCTCCGCATCACTTTCAGGTACACCAATCAGACGTAGATTTGGTCTTTTCACATAGTCCCATATTTCTTGGAGGCTTTGCTCATTTCTTTTTATTCTTTTTTCTCTAAACTTCCCTTCTCGCTTCATTTCATTCATTTCATCTTCCATTGCTGATACCCTTTCTTCCAGTTGATCGCATCGGCTCCTGAGGCTTCTGCATTCTTCACGTAGTTCTCGAGCCTTGGTTTTCAGCTCCATCAGCTCCTTTAAGCACTTCTCTGTATTGGTTATTCTAGTTATACATTCTTCTAAATTTTTTTCAAAGTTTTCAACTTCTTTGCCTTTGGTTTGAATGTCCTCCCGTAGCTCAGAGTAATTTGATCGTCTGAAACCTTCTTCTCTCAGCTCGTCAAAGTCATTCTCCATCCAGCTTTGTTCCGTTGCTGGTGAGGAACTGCGTTCCTTTGGAGGAGGAGAGGCGCTCTGCGTTTTAGAGTTTCCAGTTTTTCTGTTCTGTTTTTTCCCCATCTTTGTGGTTTTATCTACTTTTGGTCTTTGATGATGGTGATGTACAGATGGGTTTTCGGTGTGGATGTCCTTTCTGTTTGTTAGTTTTCCTTCTAACAGACAGGACCCTCAGCTGCAGGTCTGTTGGAATACCCTGCCGTGTGAGGTGTCAGTGTGCCCCTGCTGGGGGGTGCCTCCCAGTTAGGCTGCTCGGGGGTCAGGGGTCAGGGACCCACTTGAGGAGGTAGTCTGCCCGTTCTCAGATCTCCAGCTGTGTGCTGGAAGAACCACTGCTCTCTTCAAAGCTGTCAGACAGGGACATTTAAGTCTGCAGAGGTTACTGCTGTCTTCTTGTTTGTCTGTGCCCTGCCCCCAGAGGTGGAGCCTACAGAGGCAGGCAGGCCTCCTTGAGCTGTGGTGGGCTCCACCCAGCTCGAGCTTCCAGGCTGCTTTGTTTACCTAAGCAAGCCTGGGCAATGGCGGGCTCCCCTCCCCCAGCCTCGCTGCCGCCTTGCAGTTTGATCTCAGACTGCTGTGCTAGCAATCAGCGAGATTCCGTGGGCGTAGGACCCTCCAAGCCAGGTGTGGGATATAGTCTCGTGGTGCGCCGTTTTTTAAGCCGGTCTGAAAAGCGCAGTATTCGGGTGGGAGTGACCCGATTTTCCAGGTGCATCCGTCACCCCTTTCTTTGACTCGGAAAGGGAACTCCCTGACCCCTTGCGCTTCCCAGGTGAGGCAATGCCTCGCCCTGCTTCGGCTCGCGCACGGTGCGCACACCCACTGGCCTGCGCCCACTGTCTGGCACTCCCTAGTGAGATGAACCTGGTACCTCAGATGGAAATGCAGAAATCACCCGTCTTCTGCGTCGCTCACGCTGGGAGCTGTAGACCGGAGCTGTTCCTATTCGGCCATCTTGGCTCCTCCCCAAGGAATTTAAAACATAGATAACAGTGTAGAATATCAAAGCTGGGATAAGAGGTCTCTGAAAGGCCGCCTCATCCAACCCCTTTGTCGTGTGGAGAGTGGGAAGCTGAGGTCTAGAAATTGAAAGGGATTTGTAGACCTGGGAAGGACAACCCAAGTCCCCTCTCAGCAAACCCAAGAGCTAAGTTTAAAATAAAGACTCCAAAATGCTTCCCAGGGCTTTTAGTGCAGAGGAAAAGCAATGTTCTGACTTTGGGGGTGGAGGGGTTGTGAGAAGTGGATCTGAAAGCTCTCATCTTGACTCTGCCTCCACCTTCCCATAAGATCTTGAGAAAGCTCCTTTCCTCTTGGATACCCATCAGGTTCCAGAGGACAAAGAGAACAATCCAGCAAATGAGATGCTGCCAAGCTTCTACCAAGGTGTCATAAAATCACACAGACCATCCATCCCAAGTTCCATTTTACAGATGGAAAAACTAAGGCCCAGAGATGGAAAGGGACTTAAATAAGATCACCCAACAAATTAGCAGCAGATCCTCACTCCCACCATGAGGTTACAGGGCTCTTTCTTCTATGGTAGAAGCATCTCTCCAGATAACAGCACTCAATTCCTCTCCACCCTACCTCTTTGCTTCTGAAATATTGGGCAGAGGCAGCCACTCCTTCTCTGAAAGACAGAAGGGATCTGGAGGATGGGTGGGCAGTCAGCTGACTTTTCTAAAGATGGCTTTGACACTGGGGGAAAAAAATGGGAGTTCAGGGGCCAGGCTGGGATGAAAGCTGGCAGCCAACAATCAGGCCTAGAGAAAAATGCAAATGAAATGCTGCTAAGGAGAAGAAATGCAAAGATCTGAGGCCAATTCCACCAAGCTTACACACACACACACACACACACACACACACACACACACACAGCCTCAGCCTTGCATCCCACGTCATTCAATTCCCCTGCGTGTTCTAAACCTAGATGATCAGATAATAAGAGGTTGAGTGGTATGCATAACATCAAGTTGATTAAATTTGTTTACTGATAATTCTTTCAGGTTCCCATGAATATCGTGTAATTTCCTTGCTGTATTTCAAACAGATTTGGGCTAATGCATTATTGACAGCACCCTCGCAGACCATCTCCACAATGTCATTCAGGATAATTATTTCACAACAGATTTCCAGGGCCTCTGGTTCCTGTTGGGATTCACTTGGGCATAAATTACAGAGCCGAATATTTAATCAGGGTCCCCATTAGAACCCTGTGGCTTATTTTTAGGAATTGAGGAGGGAGAGCGGGTGGGAGAGAGGATACTTGTATTATTATGGCATGAATACATTTCTTCTGGGCTGGGTGGGTTGTTGTGGTGATGTTTTTTTTCTTTTTTTCCCAAAGCTCAACCAAGCTGAAAAGCAGCCTGAAGCATCCTTGCCTTTTTTAGAAATAAACACATGCATTAATCTTTTGACTGCATTAAATTAAATATTAATGTTAACGGATCACATAATGCGAAGTTAAAAAAACGATTAACATTTACACCACATTCTCTCTTCATGACTTTTCTGTTCCGCAAATCAGTCCCTCTGTTAACTAATAAGACTTAAGAACTGTCACCCTGGAGAGGTAGGACCAGGAGGTAGGAGCTGGGTGATTGTTTGGGGCATTTCTGAAAAAAAATCAAGGCGAAAGGTGTCCACCAGCAGCCACGAACTCAACCTGCCTCCTGCTCAGGTAGTTCAGCCATAAGTCAGGTGTGATGGAGTTGCTTCCTTGCAAGGAATAATCTCAGGGCTAATTAGCAATGCCGAGTCGTGCTGTGCCAGGTCCAGCAGTGTTTGCATTTCCAACTAGTTGTGTGGTTCGAGCAGCAGCATCAATCCTGCCACCATCATGCCCTAGAAAACCATCACACCGGGCTGCCATGGGCCTCCTCGCTGCCCATTCCAGCCACCTATCTTCAGCCCTCCACAGACTAGCCTCCTCTGTAGTCTATAGAGTTGCTATTGCCCCTCCTTTTGAAAAGGGTGTGCCCCTGGGGTTTTGAGAATTCTCCTGAACCCCTTTTCACTGTATTACACACTGCCCAGCCCATCAGAGGCCACCGGGCAATGTGAGTCTCCCCTTCTTTTTTATGTTTCCCCTTTTCCCTTCTTTTTTATGTTTTTGTTTTGTTTGTTTGTTTGTTTTTGAGACAGAGTCTCTTTCTGTCACCCAGGCTGGAGTGCAGTGGCGAGATCTGGGCTCACTGCAACCTCTGCCTCCCAGGTTCAAGCGATTCTCCTGCCTCAGCCTCCAAGTAGCTCGGATTACAGGCATGCACCGCCATGCCCAGCTAATTTTTGTATTTAAGTAGAGACAGGGTTTCACCATGTTAGCCAGGCTGATCTCGAACTCCTGACCTCAAGTGATCTGCCCGCCTCGGCCTCCCAAAGTGCTGGGATTACAGACATGAGCCACCATGCCCAGTCCTTTTTCCCTTCTTTTTCTTGACTGCTAATTCCAGCACTGGCCTCCCCATGCCTAATTCAGACTCATCAAGCACCCCTGGTTGTCCTCATCCAGACTTTACCTTTAGCCCTGGGCTTCTCACCTTACCACTGCCAGAGCCCACTTCTCAGCACAGGTTGACAGAGCACCTCCGATGGCTCCCACTGCCCACAGGATCAAGCCTCCTTGCAGCCTGGAGAATACAGGGCCTCCTTCAGCAAGCCCCAACACTGAGCCCTGTCTAGCCTCCAGCCACCCTGCCACACCTCCAGCTACCCTGCCACATACCCCCTGTTCTAGCCACATGAATCCCCTCACCATAAAGCACTTATATCTGTGGAGAGGAGACATAAAAGCAGGAGACCTTTCTGTTTTTATAAAACATTACTGTGCACCTATAATTTGCCATGGGGTGGGCAATATCAAGGAATCCAAGTCCTGGCTGCCAACTCTGAGGAAAGGATTAATATCTCACTCTGCCTGGGACTCCAGCAATGCAAGAATAAAGAGATCCATGGCTGGTCATGGTGGCTCACACTTGTAATCCCAGCACTTTTGGAGGCTGAGGCAGGCAGACCACTTAATCTCTGGAGTTCGAGACCAGCCTAGGCAATACAGTGAGTCCCCATCTCTATAAAAGAACTTTAAAAATTAGCTGAGCTTGGTGACATGCACCTGTAGTTCCAGCTACTTGGAAAACTGAGGAGGGAGGATGACTTAAGCCCAGGAGTTCAAGGTTACAGTGAGGAGTGACTGCACCACTGCACTCCAGCCTAGACGACAGAGCTATACCCGGTCTCTAAAAAATAAGAAAAAGATTGATGGGTGCACCAAAATCTCAGAAATCACCACTAAAGAACTTAGTAATGTAATCAAACACCACCTGTTCCCCCAAAAACCTACACAAATATAAAATAAATAAAAATTAAAATTTTTTTAAATTTAAAAACTAAAATTAAAAGATCCAGCCCACCGGGGCTGATCAGGAAACCTTCACAGAGAGGGGCATTTGACCTGGATCTGAAGGAAGAGGGGGATTTCAATAGGCAGAGATGTTCACTTTGATCAGTTGTCTGACCTCATTGGCACTTGGTAATCAGAAGAGGAAAATGGGACCAGGTCATGGCAGAACCTCCTCCAGCACTCCAGAAGCATCTTCCTCCTCCCTGCAAGGAAGTAGCAGTGGCACCAGCCCAAGGAAGTTCTGCAAGGTCAGCGACTGCCTGAGAATTGCCAGCTCTAACTAATCCAGATCTTGAATCTGGGACCCTGAGCTCTTGCAGCTCGGGCAAGGCAAGGAAAGCTCTCTGGGCCATAAGAGGGTGCCGCCCATCCCCTGTTCAGGTCATTAGCAACCAACAACCTCTTTCCACCATTTGCATTGGACAGGATCTGGAGCCAGCAAACTGAGTTCTATCATCTTGGCTCAGCCACTTACCAGCGATTTGATCTTAGGCAGGTCTGGGAAGAAAGGCGCCTCCATTTTCTCATGGGCAGAAAGGGGTCAACATAATCCTCCCTGGAAGGAATGCAAGAAAGAAAGGTGCGGTGAATAGGAAGCCCCTGCAGCTCTCCTACCACCTGGGTCTTCAGGGAGCAGAGTCCTCCTCCTAATACAGAAAACAGTACAGGTCTAACACTTGTTTAAAATTTCCCTGCTCCTCTATACAACTAGACTCTAGCATATCACCAAGGAAGAGCCAAACAGATACCCAGGACTTACAGGTGACTTAGACAGACAGAGTCAGGAGAGAATGAATCTCAACGGTTTAGGCAGCACCTATGTTCACAGGGCACCAGGGTGTGGTCCAGGTACACGTCCATAAAGAACATAAGCTGCATGCTAAGTTTTCCCTACAGCACAGTTTAGACTGGGGTCTTAGTGCCCAGCCACCCTCATCCTGGTTCCCCAGTTTTCCCACTAATGCTCCAAATGATCATATTCTCTTTCAACAAATTTCTTTACTACTTAAATCAGCTAGATCAATTTCTGTTGCTGGCAATAATGAAGTTGAATTAACAATGCTCACCCCAATGCAGAGTCTTCTGAAGCCAAGAGGAAATTCTGTCCTGAACTTCCTTCCCCATGTCATCAGAGTGAGTGAGCCATCCCCAGAGAATTCTGGGGCCTTCCATTTAAAGCTAAATGGTAATAATAATTATTTATGCTTAAATATCAATTATACCTTTTTTTTTTTTGAGACGGATTCTCGCTATGTTGCCCAGGCTGGAGTGCACGATCTTGGCTCACTGCAACTCTGCCTCCCAGGTTCAAGCGATTTCTGGCTAATTTTAGTATTTTTAGTAGAGTCGGGGTCTCACCTTGTTGACCAGGCTGGTGTCAAACTCCTGACCTCAAGTGATCTGCTTTGGCCTTGGCCTCCCAAACTGCTAGGATTGCAGGTGTGAGCTACCACGCCTGGTCAATTATATCCTTTTCAAAGCTATCCTATCCATTGTCCCACCTCATTGTCAGAGCCCACAGGTAAGGTAGACAGAACAGGTCTTTTTTATTGGCAGGGGAGGTTGATAGGGACCAGACAGCATGAAGGCTGGGGCTCAGGACATTTAAGGATACTTTTGTTATCATTACTATTAACGACAATAATACAAGCCACCGCTTGTTAAGGGATGGCTATTTGCAAGTACTGTGCTACCACTTCATATACGTCATGCAACTCTGCAATGTAGGTATTTTGATCGCCATTCTAGTAATAAGAAACAAGCTCAGAGAAGTTTTAAAATGTGCTTAAGGGCATCAGCTACTACGTTCAGAGAAAGGACTTGAATCTAGGTCTGTCTGGCTCCAAAGCGATAATTCTTAGCCATTCTATTAAATGGCTCCCACTGTTGGCCACTGCCTAGCTCTCCAGACAAGCCACATAAGCCAGGGTCCAGTGTCACTGGCTGCAAAGTGAGTGCTCTGACTTGCACACACTGACGTTTAGATTCTCCAGGTGAAAACCGAGCTCCCTTGAGACAAGGTTTTCTTGAGCTAAGCTCTGGTGGGGGAAGGAATTTAATTAGAACACAGGTCTCCTGAATCCCAGCACCAAGACTCAGTGGACAGGCTCACAACCAGCCAGCCATGGGGCTGTGATTGGACATGCAGCTCATCATTAGTAAGTCCTCTCTCCTGCTCTTTGGGCTGTCTTGGAGGCAGGGGGACTGGCTGGACAGGTGGGCATCGCCATGTTATTAACTTGGATGCTGATCCACTCTACCTGCTAATTGGGAAGGATTCTAATTACAAAGCCCTGGGAAGCAAGTCCTGGGGGCAGGTTGGATCTGCCCATTACTGTGCCTTCCCGTACCTTGCCCCAGGGGCAATGCAGAAAGGAAGCACAGAGCAAAGGAAGGCTGGACAGAGAGGAGAGGGCCTATCTCTGCCAGTGTGGTTGGCGGCCCTGCCCAGTAGCAAGGAGGAGGACTGGGTTCTAGGAGGCTCGGGTGGGGGCCCAAAAAGCTAACTCAGCCCTTCCCAGCGCTCAGAGGAGATGAAGCCACACCCACCCAGCCCAGGGGGACCAACTAGGGCATTTACAGGAAAACAGGGGTGGGGAAGAACCTCCCGGCTCCATCTTGCCGCATTGTTTGAAGAAGCGCCTATGACATTACACAGATTAACACTCCACTGAGCAAATTAATCCTTGGGATTTCACTCACTACCTGTGGCTTATACATTTTAATTGGTTCTAAACTGCCACCTGAATTGACGTGAGCCCTTGGTGATGTGAGGGAAGACATCACAGACAGCACCACCAATGCACACGTGTAGCTTGGGATGGAGGGGAACCACATTCCAGGTGCCAAAGGTGAAGGGAAAAGGGAACATCTTTCAGGTTCCCGTCCCCAGTATCTCCATCTGCATTCGAGGGGGTGGGAGGAGGAAAAAGGGGCAGCCCCCAGCCTTCTCCCTCCCTCTGCTTGTCCCACGTTCACTTGACAGCTCAACGAGCTTTGGTGGAACACTGGTGTGTGCCCCGTCCTGGGCTGGGTGACGGGGAGTCAACCACTCCTCATCATTGGGGTTGCAAGAAACAAAAACCCACTCAAACTATCTTGGGTAAAAGTGGGGGCAGCATTAATTTGAAGATACCCAGGTGTCACGGGAATGGAAGTCCATCAGGGCCCCATTCTCTCTGCTTCTGTCACATGCAGGGATGCAGGTCTGTTGCCTTGCTCCCGCTCTCTACACAGACAGGCTTCTCATCTCCCTGCACTCAGCCTTCCCAGCCACCCAAACATGGCAGCCCCAGGCCCTGAGTCTAATGACCTTCCAACTCAGCACCACCTGCCAACTGTCCTTGACCTTGGGCAACAAGCATGCCCTCCACTTTTAGAGTGTTCCACTCTGGTCCTCCTGTGGCCACACCCCTCTCTCCCCGAGGTGAGGAATCTGTGAATCCAAGGGGATATGCCCATGCAGACACCATGGGCCCCTTCTAGACCAGCACTGTCTTGCACAACTTTCTGCAAGGATGGGGAAGTTCTGCAGTTGCACTGTCCAGTGGTAGCCACGGCCTGCATGTGACCATAGAGCCTTTGGGATGTGGCTGCTACTACTGAAGAACTAATTTTTTTATTTCTCTTTCATTCGTTTTACCTCCCATTTGGCTCCCAGCACTGCCAGACTTCTTCTGTAGCCCCAGCCCCACTCAATAGCAGTTTTTGAGTCACTCCTCACTCCTATAAAATGTCAAGTGATCCTCTATCACCTTTACTTCAGAATAAAGTCTAATTTTTCAGCCTCACGCTCAAGGTTTTTGTAATACAGCTTCATCTCCTGCCATTCTTCCTCCTGCCCCCCAGCACGCAGACATACAAAGCAACGTCTGCACCCTTCTCTCTGTTCTTTGAACCAGTCCTGCCCTTTCTCACCTCCATGCCTACAAAGACTGTTCCCTCTGCTCAAAATGTCCCTCATCCCACCATCGCTCCAGTGCTAGAAAATGATTCATCCTTCAAGACCCCAAGTGAACTGTCAACTCACCAACCCCTGTGACCTTTCCTGATCCCCTTCTCCTCTCTGCCTGTGGGGCATGCCTCGCTTAGTGCCCAGGGACCAAGCTCAGGCCTGTATAAGCTTTGGGCAGACCTGGACCTGTGAAGACTTAACACTGAGATCACATTCATATCACTACTCTTAAATATTAATTCCAGCCAGGCGCGGTGGCTCACACTTGTAATCCCAGCACTTTGGGAAGCTGAGGTGGGCAGATCATAAGGTCAGGAGTTTGAGACCAACCTGGCCAACGCAATGAAACCCCATCTCTACTAAAATAAATACAAACATTAGCTGGGTGTGGTGGCGGGCGTCTGTAATCCCAGCTACTCCAGAGGCTGAGGCAGGAGAATCGCTTGGACCCGAGAGGCAGAGGTTGCAGTGAGCTAAGATTGCACCACTGCATTCCAGCCTGGGCAACAGAGTGAGACTCCATCTCAAAAAATATATATATTAATTCTATCCAAGGTCCCAAAGATACCCAAGCATCCCTGCAGGCCTCTGAAAAGGAGTAGTTTGTCATTTTGCAGAGACGTGGGTTTGAATCTCAGGTGGGAAGGCTGGCATGCAGGGGGAGTTGTGCAGCAGACACCTGAGCCCAACTAACCACCAGCATCCACATCTTAACACATATTGGTTATTCTCTAGTCATTATATATGAGGTAAAGTGATTTTTTAATGAAAAAATCTTTATTTGTTAAAAAACAAATGCCCCTCTCATCAACGCCAACCAAAAAGGGCTCTGTGACAGTGATGTATATAAATTCAGATGCAGGCCGAGCACGGTGGCTCACACCTGTAAGCTGAGCGCTTTGGGAGGCCAAGGCGGGTGGATCCCCTGAGGTCAGGAGTTCAAGACCAGCCTGGCCAACATGGTGAAAGCCCGTCTCTACTAAAAATACAAAAATTAGCAGGGTGTGGTGGCGCATGCCTGTAATCCCAGCTACTTGGGAGGCTGAGGCAGGAGAATTGCTTAAATCTGGGAGGCAGAGGTTGCAGTGAGCCAAGATCATAAGGCTGCACTCCAGCCTGGGCAACAGAGCGAGACTCTGCCTCTAAATAAATAAATAAGCAAATCAAGATGGTCTCAGGATGTAACCAGTCTCCTGCAGTGGTTCTCAGAGGGTGATCACTACACTTGAGCACCAGTGTCCCTGGGAACCTGTTAGCTATGCCAATTAGCAGCCCTCCCCAGCCCCAGTGCATCAGAACTCTGGGTTGGGGCCCAGCACTCTGTGTTTGAACAGGCCCTGCACTGGTGCTGATGCCCAGGTCCGTTGATGTATTGTGAGAGTTTCGGAAGGTGGGGGCTCTGCCAGTCTCAGCTCTCCCTAGCAGGCCCTGGCCCAGTGCTCTCGAGTGATGGGCCTTCCTTAGCTTCATATGTGTGCGCTCAGTGAGCGAATGAATGCATGCATGGTGAATAAACAGAAAGTTCAAAACAAGTGGCAGAGAAATTGAGCATCAGATACAAAAAAAGCTCGGAGCACTTCATTCAGGCATTCATTCAGCCCTGCTGATCCAAAAAGGAGGAAGAGAAGGGTGGGAGAGGACAATGCAGGTGTTACAGACTCCCCTCCCCAACTGGGACCTCACATCCCACTCCCACCCACTCCCCACCCCCACACCTGCCCCTGAACTAAGACCTGAGTGACAACCCTTCACCACTCAGCCCCTCCAAGCTAAGTCCCAGGTGAAAACTGTCCCAGTGATTTCCTCAAACCCCAGAAGCAAGGGAGCACTTGGTCCTAAATGGCCTGTGCAGGACCCATAAATTAATTACTTAATATCAGTTACAGAAGGCCAGTTGCTCTCCAGATGAATGGAGCTAATGCTGTTCTTGGCATCCAACTTAAAGATTCAAGGTGCCAGAAATACAAAGGAAGGTTTCTTTCAACTTCCAGACTAGACTGCTAAATAAAAGTGGAAGGATGGGATGAGGGTCCCTATTCAAGGAAGGAATAAAGGTTTCTTTGGTTAAGAAATATTAATCTCAATATTCACATGGCGTTAAAATATATGTTTGAGATCTCCAGAATGAGATGTTCATAAATAGATAAGCTCTAAGTGGATGATTTTTTAGCCTTGATTTTCCTTTACTGAAATATAATTAACACTTCCTGAAACCAGCTAGCTTGGAATAATTTAGTTCAATTGTAAGTATGCAAAACACTTAACAATTAGCTCCATGAAATGAGACCAGCAAGCACTGAGCCGACTTCATTAATGCCCTAAGTGCATATGCTCTATTATAAGAGCTTTCAGAAATATTGTATAAATCTGAAATGGCCCCACAGAATGGAACAGGGAGGGAGTTTCGATTATTTCCATTCATTTGAAAGCTACATCTTATAAATGCAGCAGTCTGAAAGATGATGGCAATTGGTTTTAATATTTTTACAGCCACTTCCGAGGTGGTAAAAAGAAAAGAAACTGAGATATTGTAATGGGGTCTTTAAAGCCAGTGTGACTAAACCTTCCATAAAGAGGGGGAGCTTGGACAGAGGGAAAAGCTCACAGGTTCTCAGAGTTAGAGGCCCTGGTTTCAGCTGCCTGGCTTCACACACATTCTTCCCCTATCTGAGTTGTCTCATCTGTAAAATGGGGATAATCAGGTTTACTATTTAAATAGGTAACCATCAGTACAGCACGGGCCCTGACCAATTGGAGTGGATGGTGGCAATAACCTGCTCGCCCATGCATCCTGGTTGAATCAGAGCAGAATAATAATACCTCACTCAGAGATCTGTTGAGAGCATTGCAGGAGGTAATGAACGGGACGGGGCTTCAACAGGGAAAAGCCTCTATTCAAATACAGGAGACCCAGATAAAAAGGAAGGTTAGGGGCAAAGCTTTCATGTGATTAAGATCAACTCAGGCTACTTCCCCTTCCAGAAGCTCAGAGTAGAGTGAAAAATGAAGAACTGCCAAAGCCAGAATGCAAACCAAAAAAAAGTGAAGAATTTTCAATGTGTGCATTTACCAATATATTGTTTTAACCCACCAACCCAAAATAAAGTGCAATGCAATGTGATTTTGCTGATCATAAAAATAAATCCTGTATTCCTGACAAGTATGAAGTCGAAGTCAAGAGCATGGCTGGTAATGAGGGGCAGGACTGAGGTATGAGTTCAAAACCCCAACACATACATCTTCTTTCAGGCCCACCAGCCAGCTCTGGGGCTGCAAGTATAACCTCATGGGGCAATGACCTCAAAAGTCCATATCTGAAGTCTTTGATAATGTGAGCCCTGAGCTGAATGTCCCATCCATGCCCAAGTGAGACCGGCCCCAGGTGAGGAGAGTTATAACATCTGGGTCCCCCAAAACAGGGTAGGTATCAAGGAGCTGGTTCAACCTCAGGAAAGCCCTGGCTGAATGTGAGCTCTTTGTACTGCCTAGTCCTGATTCTGTCCCTGAGGGGACCCCTAAGACAGGAAACACTCAACATTACCCCCCAGAGTCAAAGGGGCTATCCTAGGGAAGAGAATCTCCAGATGCATCCAAGCCTGGGAGAAGGAGGCAGCAAGATGGATTGGGTTAGAATCTGCCAAGTGCCAAGCCCACCACGTCAAGTACTTTTACTGTTATACTCTCTACTTTGTAGATAAGGAAACTGAGGCTCAGAGAGATCAGGTGCCTGGCCCAAGATCACACCACAAATGAGAGTGGAGCTGGGATTCCTGCTAAGATCTTCTACATCAAAGCCCACTCAGGCCAGGTGCGGTGGCTCATGACTGTAATCCCAACATTTTGGGAGGCCAAAGTGGGAGGATAGCTTGAGGTCCAGGATTTCGAGACCAGCCTAGGTAATATATGTGAGATCCCATCTCTACACAAAATTTAAAAATTAGGTGGGTGTGGTGGTGCACACCTATAGTTCCAGCTATTCAGGAGGCTGAGATGGGAGGATACTTTGAGCCCAGGAGTTCAAGGCTGCAGGGCTGTAGTGAGCCGTGATCCTGCTACTGCACTCCAGCCTGGGTGACAGAGAGAGACCCCCATCTCTAACAACAACAAAAAAAGCCCATTCTGCATCCACTCATCACAATGCTTAGAGAAACACATTGAGGTGAAAGTGCCCAGCAGCACCTGGCCTAATAGCAGAGTCGCTATTAAATGCCTGTGCAGGCCAGGCATGGTGGCTCACGCCTGTAATCCCAACATGTTGGGAGGTTGAGTTGGGCAGATCACTTGAGGTCAGGAGTTCGAGACCAGCCTGGCAAACATGGCGAAACCCTGTCTCTACTAAAAATACAAAAAACCTCTCCCTCTCCCTCTCCCCCTCCCCCTCCCCTCTCCCCTCTCCCCTCTCCCTCTCTCTCCACGGTCTCCCTCTGATGCCCAGCGGAAGCTGGACTGTTCTGCCGCCATCTCGGCTCACTGCAACCTCCCTGCCTGATTCTCCTGCCTCAGCCTGCCGACTGCCTGGGATTGCAGGCGCGCACCGCCACGCCTGACTGGTCTTTCGTATTTTTTGGGGTTTCGCTGTGTTGGCCGGACTGGTCTCCACTCCTAACCGCGAGTGATCTGCCAGCCTCGGCCTCCCGAGGTGCCGGGATTGCAGACGGAGTCTCCTTCACTCAGTGCTCAATGTTGCCCAGGCTGGAGTGCAGTGGCGTGATCTTGGCTCCCTACAACCTCCACCTCCCAGCCGCCTGCCTTGGCCTCCCAAAGTACCGAGATTGCAGCCTCTGCCCGGCCGCCACCCCGTCTGGAAAGTGAGGAGCGTCTCTGCCTGGCCGCCCATCGTCTGGGATGTGAGGAGCCCCTCTGCCCGGCTGCCCAGTCTGGGAAGTGAGGAGTGCCTCTTCCCGGCCGCCATCCCGTCTAGGAAGTGAGGAGCGTCTCTGCCCGGCCACCCATCGTCTGAGATGTGGGGAGCGCCTCTGCCCAGCCGCGACCCCGTCTGGGAGGTGAGGAGCGTCTCTGCCCGGCTGCCCCGTCTGAGAAGTGAGGAACCCCTCCGCCCGGCAGCCGCCCCGTCTGGGAAGTGAGGAGCCTCTCCACCCAGCAGCCGCCCCATCCGGGAGGTGGGGGGCAGCCCCCGCCCGGCCAGCCGCCCCGTCCAGGAGGTGGGGGGCGCCTCTGCCCGGCCGCCCCTTCTGGGAAGTGAGGAGCCCCTCTGCCCGGCCGCCACCCCATCTGGGAGGTGTACCCAACAGCTCATTGAGAACGGGCCATGATGACGATGGCGGTTTTGTCGAATAGAAAAGGGGGAAATGTGGCGAAAGGATAGAGAAGTCAGATTGTTGCTGTGTCTGTGTAGAAAGAAATAGACATAGGAGATTCCATTTTGTTCTGCACTAAGAAAAATTCTTCTGCCTTGGGATGCTGTTAATCTATAAACTTACCCCCAACCCCGTGCTCTCTGAAACATGTGCTGTGTCCACTCAGGGTTGAATGGAGTAAGGGCGGTGCAAGATATGCTTTGTTAAACAGATGCTTGAAGGCAGCATGCTCATTAAGAGTCATCACCACTCCCTAATCTCAAGTACCCAGGGACACAAACACTGCGGAGGGCCGCAGGGTCCTCTGCCTAGGAAAACCAGAGACCCTTGTTCACTTGTTTGTCTGCTGACCTTCCCTCCACTATTGTCCTATGACCCTGCCAAATCCCCCTCCGCGAGAAACAATAAATGATCAATAAATACTAAAAAAAAAAAAAAAAAATTAGCCAGGTGTGGGGGTGCGTGCCTGTAATCCCAGCTACTGGGGAGGCTGAGGCACAAGAATCGCTTGAACCCGGGAGGCAGAGGTTGCAGTGAGCTAAGATTGGACCACTGCACTCCAGCCTGGACGACAGAGCAAGACTCTGTCTCAAAAAAAAAAAAAAAAAGCCTGGGCAATTTGAGTAGAAAGTATTAAATAAGGATCTTGTATTAATTTCCTACTGCTTTAGTAACAAATTACTACAAATTTAGTGGCTTAAAAAAAAAAAAAAACAAATTTAGCCAGGTGCAGTGGCTCACGCCTGTAATCCCAGCACTTTGGGAAGCCAAAAAGGGCGGATCACGAGGTCAGGAGTTCGAGACCAGCCTGGCCAACATGTTAAAACCCCATCTCTAGTAAAAATACAAAAATTAGCTGGGCGTGGTGGCATGCACCTGTAGGCCCAACTACTCAGGAGTCTGAGGCAGGAGAATCGTTTGAACCCGGGAGGCAGAGGTTGAAGTGAGCTGAGATCACACCACTGCACTCCAGCCTGGGCGACAGGGCAAGACTCGTCTCAAAAAAAAAAAAAAAAAAAAAATTATGACCTTACAGTTCTGGAGGTCAGAAGTCCAAAATAAGTGGGCAAGGGTGCACTCCTCACAGAAGCTCTAGAGGAGAAGCTGCTCCCAGCTTCTAGAGGCTGCCTATATTCCTTGGCTCATGGCCCCCTCTTCCATCTTCAAAGCCAGCAACAAACTATCCTCATCTTTCTCTGTGTCTGACCTTTGCTTCCATCATCCTATCTTCTCCAACTCAGACCCTCCTGCCTCCTTCTTATAAGGACCTTTGTGGTTATATTGGGCCCACCCAGATAATCTACCACAATTTCTCCATCTCAAGATTCTCAGTTGAACCACATCTGCAAATCCCTTTTGCCACGTAAGTTAACATATTCACAGGGTCCAGAACTAAGACTAGGATATTTTGGGGAGCCATTATTCAACCACAGACCTTAATAAATGAAATGATAATGAAACCATTCCTATAGAGTTGACAAGAATTGCATGCTGAGTTCTGGACAGAAATATACTTAGAATTAAGCATTAATCAGGCTGCACTTTGGCTCACTTCCTTGTTGCTGAAAGTCATGCAGCACTAGATCCTGACCAATTGTATCCCCTTGTTCCTGTAGACGAGATTTCTGACATTAGGATCATAAGACTGTTTAAGAATTGACTTGCAGCCAGGCGCGGTGGCTCATACCTATAATCCCAGCACTTTGGGAGGCCAAGGCAGGCAGATCACCTGAGATCAGGAGTTCGAGACCAGCCTGGCCATCACGGTGAAACCCCGTCTCTACTAAAAATACAAAAATTAGCTGGGTGTGGTGGTGCACACCTGTAATCCCAGCTACTCAGGAGGCTGAGGCAGGAGAATCTCTTGAACCCAGAGGCAGAGGTTGCAGTCAGACAAGATCAAGCCACTGCCCTCCAGCCTGGGCAACAGAGCAAGACTCCATCTCAAAAAAAAAAAGAATTGACTTGCATCCCCATTGTTCCCACATACAGGATCTCTATCATTAGAATCATAAGGCTTTTGTTGAAGGATCACTTAAGATGTTTTTCAGGCCCCAATTCCAGCAACCAGTTTGAAGACCCTGAGAGAGGAAGGGGATTAGCATGAGAATACAGCTGCTGCTTCTACCTGCCCAGTGACTTCACCTTTCACTCTTCCACCTCCACACTTTGGTCCACTCCAAAACCCTTAAAACTCCTACCCCAACTTCCTTGAGGAGATGGATTTGAGGTCCCCTCCCATATCTTGATTCCTTGACCCTATGATCAAATCTCTTTATCTGCTGCAACCCGTGTCTCCCATGTCTTGGCATGTTGACTTGCTGTGTGCATCGGGCAATGAACCTATTATGGTAACAACTAAAGAACTTATTCATGAAACCAAACACCACCTGTTTCCCAAAAACCTATGGAAATAAAAATAAAAAATAAAAATAAAACCTATTAAGATTATAATAATAGCCATGCCTTCTTTAGATCTCAGCCAAAAATTATTGCATTAATCAGACTGCACTAAGTTGCAACAAACATAATTCCAGGTTTTCAGGGTAAGACTCAGTATCAAATACTGGCACTCCTTATCAATAATAATAAAAAATTAGAGCTACCACTTACATCCTTGTTAATATAATAAGTGTCTTCCAAGGACTGTATCATTTCATCCTTAAAAAATGTCCTGTAATTAGGCATTATTATCCCTAATTTACAAAGTAGAAACTAAGGTTTCAACAATTGCATGACTTGCTCCACGTCAGACTTACTAAATGGTGGAGTTGGATTTGAACCTCGCCTATCTGAGGTTAGACTGACCATCCAGTCAGGAATTGCTGGCTCAGGAATTATGGCCACCAGACAAACAAACTATACATGGAAGAGAAGGTGCTCTGGAAGATATAAAGATGGTCTTAATATTAAAGGGAAGCTCATGAAATAATATGGAAGTATCTGGGGCCAAATCCCAGTTCTGCCACTTGGGCCTTGATTTCCTCATCTGTAAAATGGCCTTAATAACACCCACCTCCTTGGGTTGGTGTGGAGATTAAAATGAGATAATGCATGTGATGCAATGTGTTGTAACAGGGTTCCAAAAGGCCAGGCAGTCTTAAGAGCCCCAGAACAAGACTAATCCTGGTCAACCTTGAGCTACTGCCTTCTTCTGTCTGGACCCAAGCCTCCTCTCATATACTGTGAAAAACATGGACTAAATGCTCTCCAAGGCCCTGCTCCTCTGACTTTTGGGAACAAGACCTTACAGGCTTCCTGTGACTCCAGACCAAAGACCTCTGGCTTCCCAACACTGCCAGCTTCTCCTTCCCCTGGTCCCAAGGTGACCTCAGACTCAATGGGAATGTGTACAAAGGTCTTAAAGAATCTTGCTCAGAACCACTTTGCACAGTTGCCCTTCAAGTCTTTATAGCAGAATCATTTATCAGGCCCGTGAAAACATGGCAATGACTGTGGAGCCTGGAGCCCGGACCCAAACTGCGTTCTGCATGTGGATTAATGACTGGTGTGATCAACTAGGAAAGGCTGGCTAGGGCAGCTTTGTGCTGACACCCTCCGTGCAGTTCCTTTTGTCCCTGGGAAAAGAAGCTCCATCCCTTGCTGCCTCACACTCTTTGGACAGTCACATCCATAGCCTAGCTGCAGTGGGTGGAACAGGCAGGTGGGCCAGGCGACCAGCTACCCCTGTGGTCATGAGGCCCACGGCCCTGCCTCTGGCAGCAGGACAGTGGCAACACAGTGGCCTCGAGTGCAGGGAAGTGGCTCGTGACTGTCTGCTCTGCCTCTAATGGCTCTGTGACCTTGAGCCAGTCACCACCCTCTCTGTGCTTCAATTCCATCAACTATAAAATAGAGGAAGTAATGTTCCTATTTCACAGGGTTGTTGTGAATTAAAATATGTAAGGTGTTTAGAAGAGTGCTCACCCATAGTAAGCACTATATACTATTAGCAGCTACTTACTATCTTAGTAGAACTTGGCTCCAAGTCCCTTGACTGCCACATTAGTGCTCTTTCCATGACATCAAAGCCACCTCTTGCCAGGTTAGGGCTCTGACATTGGTAAGTGTTTTCTCTCATCAGCTAAAATGGAAATCCTGAAGCAACAGGAACCCAAGGTCTTCTCTCATTCTCCCAACTTCTCCAAAATAGGACTGGCCTCTTCACCACATACTCTCAGTGGTGGCTTCTGCAGTAGCTCTAACACAAGAAGTTTATCATAATGACCTGGGAGCTTCAAACGAACAGCCAAAAGCTCCCTCTCTAGGCAATGAAGGCAACCAGGCAGAGGGGAGAAGGCTGTCACCCAGGTTCCAGAAAGCCAGCCAAGCCAGTTGGTGCCTGCTGGGGAGAAGCTGTCTCGGATCCAGAGAGTGAGAGAAAAGCTGCTGCTTGCTCCCCAGCCTTCCGAGCATCGAGTGGTGGCTGCCACTTCAAGGAGGCAGGAGGCCTGTATGGAGGGAGCAGGACCTGGTTGGCTGTTGTGATAGCCAATTAAGGACAGTCACCTTGTCACTTTGCTCATTAAAAGGCCTAATGCCAAGGCCTCCTTTTGTCTAACTCTCTCTCTCTCACACACACATACACACACACACACACACACACACACACACACACACACACACAGTTTGTTATTCAGTAAAGACATGATTCCAACATCAGGAGAGTCCACAGGGGCACAGGGGACATGGCTGGCAGGGGCAGCTCTGACAAACATGGCCCTGCTCAGCCAGCTGGGCCTGCAGAGCTCCCAGACACAAACAGTGCCACAGTGTGGAGGCCAAGCATCCCTGTGACCCCAAGATGGGGAGCACCGGGCAGGAGGAGCAGAATCGAGGACAGGAGGCAGAAATTAAGGAGGAAGGTGGGAGGGGCACACGCAAGAACCCCGCTCCCCATCCCCACTTCAACACACACAGTAACCAGCTTAGGCCAAGGCCATGACAACATTCTTCCCCAGGCTGCCCCTTGGCCAGCAGAGATTCATCTTTGCCCAGAATTTTTGTATTGCGTGATAAGAGGCCATCAGGCCTGGGCTCCAATTCACATTGTTACACTTACTAGCTGTGTGACCTTCTGTAAGGAACTTAACCTCCCTGGACTTCAGTTTTCTTATTTGTAAAATGGGTTTAAAAGGGAAGTCTCTTTAATTAAATGGGGATATGACTTTTTTAATGGAAATTCTTTCATAGGGTTGTTCTAAGAACTAAAATGGATACGGGCTGGACGCCATGGCTCACGCCTGTAATCCCAGCACTTTGGGAGGCCAGAGCGGGTGGATCTCCTGAGGTCAGGAGGTTGAGACCAGCCTGGCCAACATGGTGAAACCCCGTTCTATTAAAAAAGTACAAAAATTAGCTGGGCGTGTTGGCGGGTGCCTGTAATCCCAGCTACTTGGCAGGCTAAGGCAGGAGAATCACTTGAACCTGGGAGGCAGAGGTTGCAGTGAGCCGAGATTGCGCCATCGCACTCCAGCCTGGGCAACAAGAACGAAATTCCGTCTCAAAAAAAAAAAAGGCGGGGAGGATACATATATGTAAAACCCTTAGTTGGCATGGTCTCTGGTCCACAGTTAGCTTGTAGTAGCATTATCCGTTGTACACCATCATATCCCAGTACAGCCGTGGTACCCAGGAAGCACTCAGTAAGTACTTGATGAACGAATGGATGTGACTCCATTTGGGTAAAGGCAGTAATCAGGTCCTTTTCTACTGGCAGGCTTATGAGAATGAAAGGAGATTCCCTGCGTAAAATGTTGAGCACAGTGCCTGGCATGTGGGAGATGCTCAGAGCAGGGTATTATTAGACTCCTGAGTTTGTGGACGTGGGTCTCCCACAGCACTCTGTCTTCTTCATGGGCTCCCAATGACTTGACTTCAAATGGAAACCCACCAGCCAATGGCTGTTTCGTGGTCCTCCCCAAAAGCACAGTCTCCCGGCTCAGAGCCTTCAGAGGCAGCTGCCCACTCTGAAAAGATCAGAGCACGAGACACTGAGCCCGGGAAGCCATGCTCCAGGTTCTGCCCTCCCGCTGATGGTCTGGAGTGAAGCAAATGTCCTCAGCTAGCCCCTGGTCCAGGCAGATGTGTTAAAGCATCTTTGTCTTAGGTGCAGCTCTAGGAAGTAGGAAGCCATGGTTGTACCACACGCTCTCCCTTGATTAGACTAGAGATAGATACCTGCCCTAAGGACCTCAAAGCAGATCATCCAAGAGGATGGTTACTCAGAGGAGGAAGGTTGGCTGTGCAGGGCAGTCATCTACAGCCACACCCTCCAGGCCATCATGGCCATCGTCAAGGCCACAGGCAACCTACAGACTGACTTTGCCAACCCCTTCCATACGGATGATGCCAGGCAACAGTTTGCAATGTCTTACACAGTTGTGGGCCAGGGTGCACTCCCTGAGGACCTGTCCAGATGCCACCTGCAAACTGAAGCTGTCCAGCGTCATCCGGAATCTCTGGGCTGCCCATTGGATTTGCTCCATGGGATGCCTGTTTCATCCTGCTTTGGTTACCCACAGGACACCAGCTCCACAGTTTAGCCGCCTTCCACCTGAACGACCTGGAGCCACAGGACACAGAGTGACCATGCCCCCACACAGAAGGTGGAGCTGCAGAGCTGCTTAAAGACGCCCTTCACCTCCAGGGACCTACTCTCTTCAAGATGGCTGATGTGGCAGTCAGCAGTCTGGGCAGCAGTGGACCCACTGCTTTGAGGGCATCACAGCCACCATCTTCTGTGCAGGCTTGAGCATCTGTGGCCTGAGCTGAGGACAAGCTGAATCACACACACCAGAACATGAAGCTGTTTGGCAGCATCTATGTCAAGTGGTCATGGAAACGTCTGTCATCCTCTTCATCAAGAAGAAGGACCTAGGTGAGGAGAAGATCACACGCAGCCCCCACCATCTGCTTCCACAAGTACACAGGGGTCAGCAAGTCTGACGAGGCTGCCAGCTACATCAGAGTAAGTGAGAGGGCCTGAATAGCGCAAGAACACCAGGGAGATCCATGCACAAGTCACCTATGCTGTCACCGACATGAAAAACAGAATGTGCAGAGCACGACTGACATCACCATCAAGAACAGCCAGAAGGGCTGGGTGTGGTGGCTTATGCCTATTATTCCAACACTGTGAGAGGCCGAGGCAGGAGGATATCTTGAAGCCAGGAGTTCAAAATTAGCCTGGACAACAGAGTGCAACCCCATCTCTACCAAAAAAGAAAAAAAAGCCAGGCACAGTGGCATGCACCTGTAGTCCCAGCTACTCGGGACTAGGATCCTGAGGCAGGAGGATCGCTTGAGCCCAGGAGTTAGAGGCTGCAGCGAGCTATGATCACACCACTGCACTCCAGCCTGGATGACAGAGCAAGACCCTGTCTCAAAATAAAAAATCATAGCCAGAAGAACTGTGGCCTCTTCTGAGGGGTGGTGAGGCTGGCAGGATGGGCCAACTCTGTGCCCCCAGCCCTGAGGGTGATGGGGTCAAGAAGACCATCCTCCTTCTGTCTGTCCCCCTGGCCACTTTTCCCCTTTTCCTGTCTCTGTTCTTGGCTTCCCCTGTCCCCTCCCTCAGCTCCAGAGATGGGAGGGGTTACCACAGGGCTCCCTGTTTGAAGCCTGCCCTTGTTCTAGGTGCCTGGAATGGCCACAGTACCCGCTTCCTAGGCATCTATTCTAGTTTTTAAACATTGCCTTGCTCTGTGATGGGGAGGGGAACACATGCTGAGTCTCCCAATGCCTGTGTCTGGAGGGGCACTCACTTGTCCAGCCTGGGCACCCACTGACCAGCATCCACCCACCCCCTTCCAATGATTCTGAGCCTTGAGTGTGTCTGTGGGTTGATACCACCCTTCCCCTGGGGACACCACCCCTGCCCTGCCTTCCACAGAGCTAGGTTCCCAGGGCTGCTCCAGACAACTGCCAATGTCACCATTAGGCCCACCCCTGCCCTGGCCCAGTCCCCATTAACCTAAATGCAGCTCCTCAGCGCTAACCCGGGAGCCACTGCTACCTCCTGCCTCCACACTCTCACTCCAGGCCCAGGCTTTCAGCACTGGGCACATCCTTGCTTTTTTTGCATGTTTTATGGAATTCTTCATCTAGTTTAAAATTACAAAATGTAGAAAGAAAAAACATAATGTAGGTAAGATGGTGATGGCATTTAGGGTTGTGTGTGGTCACAGCCACAAGAGGCCCTCTAGAAAACCAAGCTACCTGCAAACTGAAGCTGGAGGGGGCACACAGAGCAGAGAAGTCAAAGCAAGCAGGGGAAGCCTGGCTCAAATTGGAAAATGGGGCAGAGGCTCAGAAATAGGCAAAGAGCTAAGCCACGCAGCCCAAGAGAGAGCAGCTGCTCCCTCTCTGGGGCTTCCAAGATCCAGTTCCCACCAGCCGCTGGCCTCACTTTCCATCTAGAGATCCATCCCTGTCCCACTCCAATAACCATGCCCTGCCCGGGCCCCCCCACATGCAACCCTCGTGCCTGAGCTGGCTCCAAGGGGTTGTGTTCCACAAAATTCCGCCCACAACAATGGAACGGCACTTCCCGTGGGGCATCCCGAAGGAGCAGTGGGGCATCTTCTGGGCCCTGGGTACCAGCTATGACTCCACACTGTCTGAATGTTCTTCCCAAGGGGCCAACCCCCACATGCCTGCAAAGATTTCCCCAAATTCTTGTGGGAGTCTGCAGATGAGGCCACCACAGAACCCAGGACACCACGGCTCAGCTGCCTTTGAAGATGAGAAGAGATGTGTAAAATATTCCCAGAGCCACTGCCCTTCACTGAGGAATTTTCAGCCCAGCCATGGCATAAAGAATTGTTTGTTTTGGTCGCCTGGAACTGAAAGAGTCTCCTCAACCAAATAAAAATATAACCTTTCAAGGCCAATCTAGCATTAGCCAAGCAGGTCATTTGGAGACAGAAGACTGGGGTTTAAATTCCGGCTCTGCTACTGCCTAACCCTGTGACCTCAGGAAAATTTCCTAACCTCTCTGTTGCTCAAATTTCTCCACTCCCATGGAGATAGGATCTGATGGGTATGGTTTGGAAAGGACTTAGTAAAATAATGCATCTCACGTAAAATATTGAACTAGGTTATCCATCTGCCTGCCTTTCTTTCATTGTAAGTAACCAACAACAAGTAGGCACTAAATAAATGTGTTGTGATGGGGTGGGTGGGGGTGAGCTGGTTGGTTTGTTGTTTGGTTTTAAGAAACTCATTTGTGGTGGGGGGAATTCCACCAGAATGAGAAAAAATCAGGTAGAAGTGTGAATAGTGTTTTATTTTTTCACAGGAGCTGATCTTTTCCCAACACTTTCACAAATTATGTGTTTGCTCATAACAAACACTCTGGGGGAGGCAGAACTGCAATCCCAACTCACAGAAAAAGCATCTGACTCCCGCCTGCCCTTCCCGCCTCTCACTGGGATGATATGACTCCCCTTTGCAGAGACACCAGGAGGGAGCCCCGCTCGGGTGTACCAGTTGTTCCTGTCCTGGGCACTCCCTTTCCTAGCTTCAGGGCCATAAGGAAGTCCCAAGCCTTGGAGCTGCTTCCTTTTGTCACTGGGTGGTGGGAGGGGCCCCTGGAATAGGTCCAGGATTATTAGCACGACCTGACTCTTAGATCTCAGAAAGCCAGGAGGGCTGCCTCTGCCCAGTGAAACAACAGATCACTTCTGCCAACCCCAGAGCCACTCTTGATGGACACAGTTCAGAGCCTTCCTCTCCTGGGGGGCACCTCACCCTCTCTGTATCACACAATATGTCCCAGAACTATACCCCATAGTCTGATGCACTGCAGTTTGTTCCTGTAGGTGGGCCTGCCACCACACGCAGATTAAAAGCATCCAGGAATTAAGAAGCACCCCTCCCCCTCTGCAGGTGGCTGGCTGTGCTGCCCACTGCCATTAAACACACACATCACAGAGCCTGCTCACAGCTCCCACTAAACCACAAACCCCTTGAGAAAAGGAGCTGTATCTTCTTCATTCTGCTATCCTCCAATTCCCAGTGCAGCCTCTGCCAGAGTGAAAGAATGAAGAAATCAATGAACGGTTTCCTTATAGCATGTTCCCCTCCAGAATTGCTTGGCTCTAGTTATCAAGAAAATGCATTTAGGGGCCGGACGCGGTGGCTTACACCTGTAATCCCAGCACTTTGGGAGGCCGAGGTGGGCAGATCACAAGGTCAGGAGATCAAGACCATCCTGGCTAACACAGTGAAACCACGTCTCTACTAAAAAAAAATAAAAAATAAAAATACAAAAAATTAGCCGCATGTGCAGTTAGAATGGTGATCATTAAAAAGTCAGGAAACAACAGGTGCTGGAGAGGATGTGGAGAAATAGGAACACTTTTACACTGTTGGTGGGACTGTAAACTAGTTCAACCATTGTGGAAGTCAGTGTGGCGATTCCTCAGGGATCTAGAACTAGAAATACCATTTGACCCAGCCATCCCATTACTGGGTATATACCCAAAGGATTATAAATCATGCTGCTATAAAGACACATGCACACGTATGTTTATTGTGGCACTATTCACAATAGCAAAGACTTGGAACCAAGCCAAATGTCCAACAATGATAGACTAGATTAAGAAAATGTGGCACATATATACCATGGAATACTATGCAACCATAAAAAATGATGAGTTCATGTCCTTTGTAGGGACATGGATGAAGCTGGAAACCATCACTCTCAGCAAACTATCACAAGGACAAAAAACCAAACACCGCATGTTCTCACTCATAGATGGGAATTGAACAATGAGAACACATGGACACAGGAAGGGGAACATCACACACCAGGGCCTGTTGTGGGGTGGGGGGAGGGGGGAGGGATAGCATTAGGAGATATACCTAATGCTAAATGACGAGTTAATGGGTGCAGCACACCAACATGACACATGTATACATATGTAACTAACCTGCATGTTGTGCACATATACCCTAAAACTTAAAGTATAATAAAAAAAAAACCCACCAAAAAAAAAAATTAGCCAGATGTGGTGGCAGGCACCTGTAGTCCCAGCTACTCAGGAGGCTGAGGCAGGAGAATGGCATGAACCCAGGAGGCAGAGTGTGCAGTGAGCCGAGATCGTGCCACTGCACTCCAGCCTGGGCGACAGAGCGATACTCTATCTCAACAAAAAAAAAAAAGGAAAAGAAAATGCATTTAGGCCGGGAACTGTGGCTCACACCTGTAGTCCCAGCACTTTGGGAGGCAGAGGCGGGTGGATTGCTTGAGCTCAGGAGTTCAAGACCAGCCTGGGCAACATGGCAAAACCCTGTTTCTGCCAAAAAATAAAAAAATTAGCCCGGTATAGTGGTACATGCCTGTAGTCCCAGCTACTCAGGAGTCTGAGGTGGGAGGATCACTTGAGCTGGGGAGGTCAAGGCTGCAGCAAGCCATGATCACACTACCACACTCCAGCCTGGGAGACAGAGCAAGACCCTGTCTCAAAAAAAAAGAAAATGCATTCTGTGAGTTCTCGCCAGTTGCCTGGAAGAGCCAGGAGCCTAGGTACGTGCTTTGGACCAGGGATCCCATCAAACTGGGATGGAGCACACCCACCACGGATCACGTATCTGTGAATGTCCCGGGGTCACTAGGCAGAGACACTCCGCTTCTTCTGAGCCCAGGAACAGATTCTCAGCTGGGACACTGGCTCCCTGCCAATCTCTCTCAACCCACACACACCAAGGAAGAAGGCTACCAACTGACCTCACCTAGGGGATCCCAATTCTCTAGGACAGTTGAGTAGTGGCCAGGAGTTTTGGGGAGCTGGCCAGGCAGGAACTCATAAAGATACCTCAGGGTCCACACAACACAGGTCCTTTTCCTGAAAACCATCCTGCCATGTGTAAAATGTCAATGCCAACGGAGATGGATCCAACTGAACTGCCTATTCAAGGGACCAGATGAAATCTGTGGGCCAAATTCTGCAGCAAACTCAAGGATTAAGAAAGCAAAGGGAAGTCAAAGATCGAGGAGATTAAGAATTCAGACCAAAAGCGGAGCCTAGAGGAAGGATCAGGGTGAGGGCAGAGGGGCTGGCCTTGGGGTAGCTGTCTTACCCCAAATGGTCCCTCCAGGCCACCTCCCACAGGGGAGACTTCACCATCCTCACCTACTGGCAACATGGCATCCAAGTGAGAAGATACCATGTGGTCAGCCACCCCACCCCATCTTTAACTCTGTGGTGGGGTGAACAGCAGGGGTGAAGGTTTACTGCAGAGGAGTCGACCACAACTTGCCCATGGATGATTGAAAGGAGGGAGGTGCTAGGAACAGAGTCAGGAAACCAGCTTATCTTTTCCCACTCCCCACCCTGCACTTTAGACCCCAGGAACATGGAACTGCTCCAAGTTCTCAGCACATGCTAGTCCATGCCTCCACGCCTTTGTTCTTGCTGTTTCCTTTCCCTGCAATGCCTTCCTATTTCTTACTTTGCTACTTATTGCAATTCAAGACTGAGCCCAGAGATCATCCCTCCCGGAAGCCATTCCTGTGTGCCCAGGAAAGGTGGCATATTCATGCCTTGTGCTTACCTTAGCTCTTCCCATTTCATACTGAGGACCTCTTCTTGGGTCAATGGCTACCACTATGCCAAGAGTTCTTTGAGGGCAACAACCATTTTTGGTTGTCCCTGTATCCCCAGCACCTATCACAGGACTTGGTGTACAGTAGCTGCTCAATTGAATGCTTGTGGGGCAAATTCTTACTGTAGAGAAAACACTGGCCTGGATTGTGGGAGACGGAAGGGAAGGAAAGATGATGAGGGTGGGTCTGAGCAGACTGAAAGTGGTGGGATAGCTAAGAGGACTCCTGCAGAGAAAGCTCAGGGCTGGTGGAGGAGGCTTGGGGGTCTCCTGCACAGAGGGGATAATTAGAGGCATGGGAGCAATTTGGGTTGGGAGGTGACTTAGGGATAGGAGTGAAGGGGAAAAGCAGGAAGACCCTCATGATGTTTCTAAAATTTTTCTAGTCCTAAACAAACTCTCAGTCTAAATGTGTGCAACAGGATCTCAAATGGGATTTTTTTTTTTTTTTTTTTTTTTTTTTACTGTTGCCCCAAGACACTGGAAACAAAACTAAGGGCAAAGACGTGCTCACTATCACACATCTAAAGAGACCCACCAGCAGCAGACATGTCCCCAAGGTCTTCATCAAAAAGAAACACAACCAGCCCCTCTAACACCAGGCTCCACCCCAAACCACCAACACACACCATCTATAGGAAAGACTGGGGAGGGAAGAGAAAGAAGAGGATGGTGGGGGAAGTGGTCACGTAGAGAGCCGTCATTGTGATGAGAGGAGCTCCAAGAGAATCCCTCATAGAAATGGGGGTGCCCCAGGGAGGGGAACATCACACACCGGGGCCTGTCGGAAGGTAGGGGATAGGGGAGGGATATCATTAGCAGAAATACCTAATGTAGATGACAGGTTGATGGGTGCAGCAAACCACCATGGCACATGTATACCTATGTAACAAACTTGCACGTACTGCATATGTATCCCAGAACTTAAAGTATAATAAAAAAAGATAATATTTGCCTTTTCATATTCTTTTGGTTTTTGAATCATGTAAATATATTATTTATTCAAAAATTAAATATAAAAAGAGTCCCCAATCTTCCTTACCACAAAAAAAAGAAATGGGGGTGCCCGAAAGATGGAAGCTGGTGTTTCCCTCCCGAGCCGGGTGCCTGCCGACCTGCAGGATCTGCAGCCCCACTCTGTGGCTGCCGTGGGAGAGGAACAAAATCTAGGGAGGGAGTGCTCCCGTGAGCCTAACTCAGGACACCGGGAGCTTGGGAATAGATGTGAGCATGGAGCACGTTGCCCACGTGCCCCTAGAGATCTCAGAAGGTGGAGGGCTTGTGGAAGACCCCACACCAGCAGCAGAGTATGGATGGCACAGGGTAGACTGCTCAGGAAAAAAAGAGTGTGGGCCTCTGCACCCCCATTTCACAGCCCCTCCTGTGGAGCCACATGGAGATGTGGAGGTCAGAGGATGCGCCGGAATCCCAGGACAGTCCAGGAGACACAATGCCGCACTCAGAAAGAGGGCTGGAGGAGTGCACCACTCATGGGGCTGAAGAGAGCCCCAGCTTCTCTCAGAGGGGATATTCAGTGATGGATGGTGCTGGCATGAGCTGAACTCTGTCCCAAGGACACCTGCCCCACCATCTACATGGAAACCACCACATCAGCCAGGGAAGCAAACCCTGATAGAGGAGGGTCAGAGTAGAGTCACCTTCCACCACCCACAGGAAGCCCTGCCTCCAACCCCAGACAGGAAGACCCAAGGCTCTGGAGTGGGCAGAGGCATGAGAGAAGAGACACTACCCCTCCCCACTTCCCTCACCCAAGCACCGGTCGGGCCTCCGATGGGGAAGGTGGGAGTTCCAACAGAGATGAGCCAGTTTTGAACCAGGCTCAGTTATAACTGACCATAAAACTCTGGACTCTGCTCCAGCTCATGTTAAGGATAATCTGACAGAGTTCAGCAGAGAGAAGTTAGCTGGAGAAAAATAAAATCGGCCGGGCGTGGTGGCTCATGCCTGTTATCCCAGCACTTTGGGAGGCCGAGGTGGGCGGATCACGAGGTCAGGAGATCGAGACCATCCTGGCTAACATGGTGAAACCCCGTCTCTACTAAAAATACAAAAATTTAGCCAGGTGTGGTGGCAGGCGCCTGTAGTCCCAGCTACTCGGGAGGCCACGGCAGGAGAATGACGTGAACCCAGGAGGCGTAGCTTGCAGTGAGCAGAGATCGCGCCACTGCACTCCAGCCTGGGCGACAGAGCGAGACTCTATCTCAAAAAAAATAAAAATAAAAATAAAATCATTTCACATCTCTATGCCACCAACATGACACTCGTCAATAAGCCAGTTACATGGAGGCCAACACAGAAGCCGCTCTCTGGGCAGATGGGCAAAGTAAAGAGGGAAGAGGTGGAATGATCTCAGCCCCCTATCTCTGTTTCTCAATAAGACAGAACTTAAGTCAAAACCTCCTCAGTCTTAATTACCAAACAAAAAAATAACCAGACGAGCCTCTCACTGTATGTCTTTATTTATACTGTCATCTGCTCCGGCATTTTAATATCCAACTTTCCGTTGGAAGACAGATGCCTGGATGTTCACACCCCGTTCTAATGGCTTAATACCCTGGGTACTGGAGCAGGGAGGGGCTGCGAGGAAGGAGGGGGATGAGAGCCACCACCACATTGAGCACAACTTTGGAGCAAATGGGCTTGAATATTCATTGAACAACATTTAATTTAAACACCCAAACTCTGAAAGCAGCAGCATATGGCCTGTTTTATTTTACATAAACTGAATAGGAGGTTGGGCCATTAGTTTCTGCAGACATAATGTTCATTACCAATGAAGAATGCTTTCCTTTGAGGGGGCGCCCGCACTGTACTGGGCCCACTGCCCTACTCCCTCACCACGGGGTCAGACAAGCTCAAATCGAGGGCTCTGTGGCAGCCCCACTCATGGTGGCACAGCGACGTTGATCAAATCCCATTAGGGTACAGATTAGAGTTTCACTGGCTCCTTGGTTTGCACTTGGGGAGAGTGGATTGGGTAGGATTCTGATCCTCTTGGATTAGGCCTCCTTAGTGCCTGGGGACAGTATCCAGATGGCATGAATCTGACCTCCTCTGTCCATCCTGCCTAGGACTTAGAATTGTGTGCACATGTGTACAGGAAGCGCTGGGTACAGAGCCAGGAGTATGTGTCCACATGCTTGTGTGTGTGAGCATGTGTCCCTGCAGCTCTGTGGGCAGGTATAAGTGTAAGTTGTGTGTACACTTCTCCGGGGGTGTGTGTGCACATGACCCCATGTGCTGCATACGAGCATGTGCATGTACACATGCAGTGTGTCTCTGACATGCCTGTGGCTGTGTGTGTGTGTGTGCATAGCAGGTCCACCTGGAGTGGTAAGAGGTGTCCCCTGTAGCTTTCTCTGTGGGTAGGAGAATCCTGGTAGATGCATAGGTGCATATATCTACAGAATGTAATACACACACACACACACACACACACACACAAGCATTTCTTAAAGTACCTGTCACCCAGGGGTTCTTAACTTGGGGAGCACAGCCACTCCCCATGGGGTCCACGGATAGAATGCAGGGGTCCCATGAACTTGGATAAGAAAAAAGTTACATCTTTATTTTCACTGACCTCCAAGATTTTTTTTTTTTTTTTTTTGAGACTTTTCTTGCCCAGGCTGGAGAGCAATGGTGCGATCTCGGCTCACCGCAACCTCCGCCTCCCGGGTTCAAGTGATTCTCCTGCCTCTGCCTCCTGAGTAGCTGGGATTACAGGCATGTGCCACCCCACCCTGGATAATTTTGTATTTTTAGCAGAGACAAGGGTTTCTCCATGTTGGTCAGGCTGGTCTTGAACTCCCTACCTCAGATGATCCACCCGCCTCAGCCTCCCAAAGTGCTGGGATTACAGGCATGAGCCACCGCGCCCAGCCCTGACCTCCAAGATTTTTGTTTTTTTTCTTTTTTGTGTGTTTTTTTGGTTCTTTTCTAAGATTTTTCCATCATGAATGTAGATAATAAATCCCTGTACTTTGAGCACTTCCAGAGACTTTGTGGCCAGTAGAAATCACAGATATTTTCATATAACATCACAGCTGTTACAGATATTTCAAATGTCACTAGGGCCTCCATCCCTACTTTGAATTATAGTAGTAATTAGACCTGCCACAAGATAGTTATTATTGCATTAATAAGGAAACATTTGTTACTTCATCACAAATGTTAATTTTGCTAAGTGTACTTGAATAGACTTGGTTTTCTTTGTAAGTTCATGTTTTTTCCGCATGCATAAATATTCCAGGAAGGAGCCCACTGGTCACCACCCACCAAGGGGCAAAGTAAGGTAAAGAACCCCACCTGTGGGGCAGCAGGAAGCCATCTGTAGCTCTAGCAAGCACATGCTAACAGGTGCCCATGCGGATGTGTGCACAGACCTCCGGCAAAGGCATGATCAGTGCTGTCCCCTCTGATCAATACTCTCCCAAGAGGGTACATGTCCACGGACAGAAGGGGAAGGATAAAAAGCCAGTGACTCTGTAGGAAGACAGATTTCTTTCCATGGCCCCAACGGTGCTAGAAACCATGCTGACAGCCCAAGCTGCCCCACTTTCAGGAAGAAACAGCTCAGAGCATTTCTTGGCACTTGCCCTCCAGACCTGGTGGGACAGAAGGCTTCTCAGAGGAGCGGGACTTAGGCAGGGCTCTGGAGCACATTTCAAGCAAAAGTCACATCTGGCCAGGCATAGTGGTTCACACCTGTAATCCCAGCACTTTGAGAGGCCAAGGAGGGAGGATCACTTGAGCTCAGGAGTTCGAGACCAGCCTGAGCAACAAAGGGAGATCACCTCTCTACAAAAATAAAAAACAATTAGCTGGCTGGATGTGGTGGCTCACGGCTGTAATCCCAGCACTTTGGGAGGCCGAGGTGGGAAGATTGCTTCAGTCCAGGAGTTCGAGACCAGCCTGGACAACACAGGGAGACCCTGTCACTACAAAAAATAGGAAAAACAAATTAGCCAAGTGTGGTAGTGTGTGCCTGTGGTCCCAGCAACTCAGGAGGCAAGGCAGGAGTACCTCTTGAACCCAGGAGGTTGAAGCTGCAGTGAGCCATCATCACACCACTACACTCCAGCCTGGGTGACAGAGCAAGACCTTGACTCAAAAAGAAATATATATATATATATATAAAATATATATAGTACATATATATTGTATATATTTATATATAAGTATATAAAATATATGTACATATGTATTTTATATATTTACACATATATATTTTATATATATACGCACACACATATATATATGTATTTTAGCCAGGCATGGTGGCACACGCCTGTGGTCCCAGCTACCTAGGAGCCTGAGGTAGGAGGATCACTTGGGCCCAGGAGGTCAAGGCTGCAGTGAGCTTTGATCAAGCCACTGCACTCCCACCTGGGCAACAGAGTGAGTCCTTGCCTCCAAAAAAAAAGAAAGAAAAAGAAAAAAATAGTCACATCTGTCTCTGGCTGTCCCCATCCACACCCACACTTCCCCATGATTCCCTATCACCCAAATATCAGTTAAGATTTCTTCCTTGACAATGCTAGGATCACACAAGGGGCCACCCAGCAACTTGTCACTTCGCTTCCTGCAGATGGGCCTTGCCTCTGGGCTCTGTCACCCTGACACTCAAAGTGCTCCTACTGCTACACCTACTCTTGATCTTAGAAAGGTAAGAATTTTCCAGAATTCCTGGGGTTCATGAGTAACATGGAGAAAACCAACATGAAACCAGATCTTTAGAGCAAAGGCCAGGCAAGTAAATGATCTCTATCTGATCAGTGATCAGCCCAGAAAAACTGTTTTGGTTTTGTTTCTGTTCTTCCTCAACTTGGCTATGTGTTTGTCTATAATTATGTGTGATATTTGTGTTTCTTTTCTTTTTGTTTTTTAATAGAGACAGGCCTCACTATGTTGCCCAGGCTGGTCTCGAACTCCTGAGCTCAAGTGATCTGCCCACCTCAGTATTTGTGTTTTTTTCATTGCTCTCGGAGGGGAAGGATAATATAGGTCTTATTCCCTATAAGAATATATTATAGAACCCACCACATAGAAAATCTTTAATACAATTTTTGATGAAAATGGAAATTTTTTTTTCTTTTCTTTTTGAGACAGTCTTGCTCTGTTGCCAGAGTGAGTGCAGTGGCACTATCTCAGCTCACTGCAACCTCTGCCTCCTGGGCTCAAGCGGTCCTCCTGCCTCAGCCTCCCAAGCAGCTGGGACTACAGGTGTGTGTCACCACACCCAGCCGAAAAAAAAATGTTTTTTCAATAACGAATGACAGATAAACCAACTCAAACTACCTTAAACAGTATATAACATTTATTAGCCCCCATAACTAGAGTCCAGGGGTATAGATACTTCAGGGAGGCTTGAGCAAGACTCTGGCTGTTTCCCTGCTGTTCTCTCAGCTCTGCCCTGCTCCAAATTGTCAACTGTGTCGTCAGGGTGGCTTCACTTGTGGTAGCAAAATGTCTGCAGCAGTTCCAAGCCTCAGATCTGCACATTATGACCTCTGGAGCAAGTGCGATCTCTCCAACCACCAAATGGGAGCCTTCTCACAACTCTGCTTGCACCCAGCCTCAATCAACCACTTTGGCCAGGGGTAATTCCATGCACTGATTGGTTCAGGTCTGGGTCACTGCCTATTCCTGAGCTATTGCTATGGAAGGAGTAGATGCCATACTTTCTTGGCTTAGGCCAACCAAGACCCACCCCAAGAAAAGCAAATTTGGGGAGCAGAAGGGGAATAGAATGAATTCTTGAAGAGGCAACCAGAAGATCCTCCAAGGTCTGTGTTTCCTCAAACTGCTAAGCAGGCATTTCAGCTTCCAAACCGACTGGCAGTGCCCTAGGACAGGAGCCATCTTCTGACCCTTATTCACCAACACCAAGGTGACCACTGAGAAAAGCACTTTGTATGTGTCCTCAGTCACCACGACAGACCCTCAACCAGCCACCAGGTTCACTAACAGACACAGTCACTGCCACACTGGTCTTCTCCACCAGAGGCATCTCCCCCTCCCCTACAAAGAGAGAAGAAGCTTTAATAACAAGATGTCCAGCCAGGCACGGTGGCTCATGCCTGTAATCCCAGCACGTTGGGAGGCTGAGCTGGGTGGATCATGAGGTCAGGAGTTTGAGGTCACCCTGACCAACACGGTGAAACCCCGTCTCTACTAAAAATACAAAAATTAGCCAGGCGTGGTTGTGTGCACCTGTAATCGCAGACACTCAGGAGGCTGAGGCAGGAGAATCGCTTGAACCTGGGAAGCAGAGGTTGCAGTGAGCCAAGATGGTACCACTGCACTCCAGCCTGGGCAACAGAGCAAGACTCCGTCTCAAAAAAAAAAGAAGATATCCATCTGGGAGACAAGGGGGCTAGGTTCTGCCCCTAACTTGGTGGGGAATTCCTTTTGTGTACCTCAGTTTCCCCACATGCACTAAGAGGGGATTAGGCAAAGTAAATCTAAAAGCCTTCTCGAGTGACCGGTTCATGTGCCACAGCAGAGGAAGAGCTTCTAAACTTGGCATTCCGCAGCCCCAAGAACCACCATCACCTCCTGCCTGAGTTTCCACCGCAGCCTCTGCCTCACGACCCAATCCACTCCCCACACAGCCGTCATTCCGTCAGTCAGTCATTCAACAAGTATTTATTTAGTCTACTGCGTACTGTGTCCAAGGCATTGTTCTGGGCGCCAGGGGTATAGCAATGAGCTAATTAGGAACACAGACCAAAAAAAAAAATCTCTAACTTCACGCAGCTTCATTTCTAGTGGGAAAATACCAATAAACAAGAAAATAATAAAATCAACTGCTGACGAGGAAAAATTAAAACTAGGAAGGAAAGCCTTAAATGTGGTAGGAGCCGCTGGAGCTGGAAGGTGGTGGGAGGCCAGTGGCCAGGTCGTGGGGGATTGTGGGGGCGTGGGGAGGTCTTTGGCATTTGGGTGAGAGAGATGTGGAGCCCTGGAGGGTTCTGAACAGAGGTGCCAGCTCATGTGACTCCGATTTCCACAGTGCCCTGCTGGCTGCTGAGTGGAGAAGAAGGTGGAGAGATGAAGCATCCTCAGAAATGCAGCAAGGCGGCCATGGCAGTGACATTAGTGGCCCAGACCAGAGAGGCAGGAAGGTGGGGAGAAGCAGCTGGATTCCTGGTGGATTTCAAAGAAAGGGCCAAAAGACTTGTTGATGGCCTGGATGTGGGGTGACAGAGTCAAGGTTGCTGACAAGGCTTCTGGCAAGTGGAGGACCAAGTCACCGTCCACAGGGTGGGGAGAACCAGCAGGAGCAGGTGAGGCAGGCGACATGAAGGCTCCGTTTCTGACCAGTGCCCTCTCCAAAAGGCACGCCTGGCAGCACTGTTCTCTGTTTTCAGTCTTCCTCCAGGTAACGGCCACCTGTAAATACTTGCCACAGCCCCTCCGCAATCTGCCACATGTCCACACGCTCCACGGTCCTGGCACTTCTACCTGCCACACAACCCCCCGGCTTTCTCTTGCCTTCGAGTTCTTCACATCTGTGCATCTCTCTTCCTGGGAAATTCTTCCCAATGCTTGCACTCCAAGCCCCAATTCCCTCATCTGCAAAAGCGGGAAGGAGAGAATAGTCTCAGAGGATTGTCCAGGTGCCTTCCAGCCGCCCTGTTCTGCGCCTGTGGCCTGGGATTCTGCACCTCCCTCACTTGGTACCAGGGAAGATCAGCAGCAGTCAGAGCCAAAGCTTGAAGGAAGGGCACTTGGGAGGGCTGTAAAAGCCAGGTACCTGCAGGAGTTCAAGCCTCAGAACAGAGGCAGGAATGAAAACAGCATAGTCTGGAGTAGACAAGAACCCCCACACCAATCTGCCTCTGCCCCACAGAGCCCTCCACCTGGGCCACCCTTCCCTTCCCTTCCCACTCCTTCTTCATGGCCAGTGCCAGCGGCTCCTTCCCTGCACTAGTCCCCAGCCCTCCTCTGCCTGCCCAGACTCTCTGGCCATTCGCCCAACAGCACTCCAGGCCAAGCCTTAGGATCTTGAGGAGCACCCTAGGCACCCCCATACCCTGGGAAAGCTCACCAAGGTATGGCCTTCACCCACACCACGTGACTAGGAGGTAGGAAACTGGACTCCAGGGTGCTCCAGGACTCTTTCCAAACTCAGCTCAAATCCCCCTTCCCCAGGAAGCCATACTGCTTCCTCCAGACCATCCAGCTCTGCAAATTGGTTCGTGGTAGACATGTTGGTCTCCTCCCAAGCTTAGGGCTCAGGCTTCATCTTGCCCACCTTGATGTCTACCCACTTCCAGCCCTCAAAGAGTCCACCTGGAGACTTATGCACCAATATACTGTGCCCAACACAGGAGCTTCCTGCTGGGAGACACCCCTTCATCCGGTGAGCAACCTGCTTTTTATGAGAGGGGAAAGCCAGAGGGGCTGTGGTGCAGACGTTCCCCCATCCCCGGCCCGCTCCTGCTCTGCCATTTCCTCTCCCCTTCAGGAGCTGAAGAAGCCAAAGAGGTTCCTTCTCCCCTCTCAGGCTCCCTCACCTTCCCTCACCTTCCACCCAAAGATATTAGGAGAATTAATGGGATAACAGATGTAATGCCTCCAAGGAAACGGGCCACATAAATCCAAAGTGTTGTTATTAAATTCCAAATTTAGCCCTCAGGATGGGTGAGACATGATGAATCTGGGCTGGGAGAGATCCCAGCTGCGTGGACAGGAAGTCCCTGTGAAATCAGAAGCTATGACATACAGGCTCTGGGCATTCAAGGAAACCCTAAAACCCCCCCAGGACTCTGAACCCAAAGAGCTTCTACAACCACCTCACCTAGAAAGCAGCCAGGCTCTGCTTGTGTACCACCAGCAACAGGAAGCTTGCTGCTTCCCAGGGGGCAGGCCCCTTCCATTAGCTCCGAGGTTTTTTTCTTTTCTTTTTTTTTTTTTGTTGTTGTTGTTGTTGTTTTTGTTTGTTTTTTTGAGACGGAATTTCACTCTTGTTGCCCAGCCTGAAGCGCAATGGCACAATCTCAGCTCACTGTAACCTCCACCTCCCAGGTTCAAGCGATTCTCCTGCCTCAGGCTCCCAAGCAGCTGGGATTACAAGGCGCCCTCCACCACATCTGGCTAATCTTCTGTATTTTAGTAGAGGTGGGATTTCACCATATTGGTAAGGACAGTCTCGAACTCCTGACCTCAGGTGATCCACCCACTTCGGCCTCCCAAAGTGCTGGGATTATAGGCATGAGCCACTGCGCCCGGCTTGCTCCAAGTTTTAAAAACTGCCTGCTATCCAGCCCAAACCATTTCCCCATATGCTTCACACTCCACACTCCAGGACAAATGTTACCCTTCTTTCACATGATAGCCCTTGACCAAGGGTACGTCTCTCTCTCCTCATTTCCAGCTAAACAGGGCTTACACCCCATCATCTCAAGGCAGCCCCCATCAGGATGCTCTTGTCTGAGTAGACTCCTCCTCGTGGCTTCCAAATCCAACATAACCCCTAGAAGGGGTCCAAAGGGAGATAGGGCAGAGCAGAACCTGCCGTGCCTTCGCTCCAGGTGCCTACCTCCCATGGCGGCAGCTAGAGGCAACATTTGCTTTTTTTTAGCATCCTCATCACACTATGAAATGGGGACAATAATCCCCACCTTGTAAAACTATTTCCAGGACAAAAGGTAATATATACAATGTGCCCAACACAGTGAATAGTAGGCACTCAATAAAAGGAAGGTATTATTGTTACATTCAAAGTCTCTCGGGAACCCTGACAGCAGTTTCCAAGGACAGAAAAACCAAGAACTAAGCCGGGGGTGGTGGCGGTCACCTGTAATCCCAGCACTTTGGGAGGCCTAGGCAGGTGGATCACTTGAGGCCAGGAGTCCGAGACCAGCCTGGCCAACATGGTGAAACCCCGTCTCTACTAAAAATACAAAAATTAGCCAGGCATGGTGGTGCATGCCTATAATCCCAGCTACTCAGGAGGCTGAGACACGAGAATTGCTTGAACCTGGGAGGCAGAGGTTGCAGTGAGCCGAGATCAAGCCACTGTACTCCAGCCTGGGCGACAGGGCAAGGCCCTGTCTCAAAATAAATAAATAAATAAATAAATTTTAAAAATGGACAATCCACAGAATAGGAGAAAATATTTGCAAACCATATATCTGATAAGAGATTTGCATCCAGGATATATAAACTAACACAACACAATAAAAAGACAAATCACCCCATTTGAAAATAAGCAAAGGATTCAAACAGGCATTTTTCTAAAGAAGACATATAAACAGCCAATAAGCAGATGAAATGATGCTCAACACCATTAGTTATTATGAAATGCAAATCAAAACCATAATGAGATACCACTTCATACCTACTTGCATGGCTAAAATCAAGTACAGATAATAACAAGTGTCAGGAAGGATGTGGAGAAATTAGAACCTTCGTACATTGCTGGTGGGAACATAAAATGGTGCTGCCTCTGTGGAAAACAGTTAACCAGAGAGTCACCATAAGGCCCAGCAATTCCACCCCGAGGTATATACCCAAGAGAAGTGAAAACATCCACACAAAAACTTGCACATGAATTTTCATAGCTGCAAAATTATTCAGAATAGCCAAAAAGCAGAAACAACACAAATATCCATCAACTGATGTTGACGTGGTAAATCCACACAAGGGAATGTTACTTGGTAATTAAAAGGAATAAATTACTGATACATGCTACGGTGTGGACATAGCACGGAAACATTAGGCTGAGTGAAAGAATCCGGTCATAAAAACCTATATACACTATATGATTTCATTTATATGAAGTTTCCAGAATAGACAAATTTATAAAAACAGAAAACAGATTTGTGGTTGCCAGGGGCTGGGGCAGAGGTTGAGGGAAATAGGGAGAGACTGCTAATGTCTACAGGGTTTCTTTTTGTTGTTGTTTGAGACAGAGTCTCACCCACTCTGTTGCCCAGGCTGGAGTGCAGTGGCGCAATCTCAGCTCGCTGCAACCTCTGCCTTCCAGGTTCAAGGGATTCTCCTGCCTTAGCCTCCCAAGTAGCTGGGATTACAGGTGCTCACCACCATGCCCGTCTAATTTTTTATTTTTAGTAGAGACAGGGTTTTGCCAGGTTGGCCATGCTGGTCTCGAACGCCTGACCTCAGGTGATCTGCTCGCCTCAGCCTCCCAAAGTGCAGGGATTATAAGCATGAGACACCTGCCGGGCTAAGGGTTTCTTTTTGGCATAATAAAAATGATCAAAAATGAATAGGTGTGGTGGGAGGATAGCTTGAGGCCAGGAGGCGCAACATAATGTAGAGACTCTGTCTCTACAAAAACTAAAAAAAAAGAAAAAAAAAGTAGCTGGGCCTGGTGCTGTGCACCTGTAGTCCTAGTTATGTGGGAGGCTGAAGTGGAAGAATTACTTTAGCCTAGGAGTTCGAGGATGCAACGAGCTATGATCACATCACTGCACTCCAGGCTGGGTGACAGAGTGAGACCAAATAAAAATCAAAATGTTTAAAAATTAGGTGGTGGTGGTGGTTGCACCACTCTGCAAATACATTGAAACCCATTGAATTGCACACTTTACAAGGGTGAATATATGGTCTGTGAATTAAACCTCAATAAAGCTCTTATTCTCTTTTTAAAGCGGCCACTTGCTGAGGTCTGGGAGTGACAAGAAGGAAAGAAAGACAGATGTCTCAGCGGTGGGAGTGGTGGCTGCATTGGATACATCAGCAGCCCTCCTGCCCTCAAACCTTCCCAGCAGGTGCTCCTCAGCCCCAGGTAAGTGGGAGTGGGCTCCATGAGCTGACAGACCAGTCAGCATCTTGTCCCTGGGAAGTGGCAAGGAGGATGCAGGTCTAACTAATCTGGCCGGAAGTTTGGAATGGGGAGCAATAAAATCCTGGTTGTGGCAGCCATGGGGCAGAAAGGGGAACAAAGAAAAGCCAGCCTGTAGAGAGAGAGAGAGAGGCATAGACTCAAAGAGGGGGAAGGAGGAAGGAGGGGAGAAGGAAGAGCTGATTTGTTCTGAAATGATTTTCCAGACCCAAATCCAGGGAGGCTGCCAGCACCGCCTACCTTTTGGCTTTGTTAGATCACCCACAGCTTCCCAGTAAACTTCCCCCTTTTGCTGGGAGGTTTCTGCTGAAAGGATCCCTATGAAGCAACCATTTTCTTCCTGCTGTGGCAAAGACTGGTCATTGTCCCCCAAAACTGTGCTCCCACATCTGCCTGAGCTGGAACAAGCCTATATTTCCCAGCCCACCTCACAGTTATTAGGTGTTGCAGGAGACTAAGTCCCAGCCGATGGAAGAGGAGCAGAAAAAACACAGGTGACTTCTGGTCTGGCCTTTGTGGAGAGTGGGTGGCCTCCCACAGGCCCCAGTACTAGGGCAAGGTGCTCTTAGGGTCAAGGAGATGCTGACCTTGCACTAGCACCACTGTGGGTGAAGACCTCCTTGGATTTCACATGCTAAGCGCTTCATTGCCTCACCCAGTCCCAGCCCCACTGTGATGGGCAACTATCCCTCAGAATGGCACCAGCATTGGCAGCAAAGTGGAGAGAGAAAACGTCTAGGCCCTCGAAGACGCTGTTAAACTGCAGTGTCCACCAACCCTGAAGGCTCCTGGGCATCCAGGGGGTTCTTACAGGAGCTAATAAGCAACCTCACTGTTCAAGGCAGTGTAAGCTGACTTCTCAGAGACTTGCAGCAGAAGGCCTCCTCCCTAACATACCCTCTAAACCCATGACAAAGCCAGCTCAGGAGCACCAGTGGGCGATGTTTCAACTCTAGCTTCCCAGGGAACATTTCTGTACCAGTGACACGCTCTGTGAGACGACACAGGGCAATGAACTGAACAGCAGGGAAAAGGTACCCCAGACAGCATGCAGTGTTTTGTTACCTTAAAAAAGCAAGAAACAGCACTTGAGTAGCAAACGGCTCACTTGCTGTCAGAGGTGGCGTGAACTCCAGGGGAAGACGCCTGAAGCTTACTCCTTTCCCCAGCATGAATGAGCTGAAGGACTTGGGGCAAGTCATCTACCCTCTGTGCCTCATCCATAAACAGAAGAAAAAGCAGCCCGTCTTGCATGCTGCGTGAAGGTGCCAAAGGAACTGAAGAGCTCTCCTTCCCCGCTCCAAGGAGGCCTGATGGAAAGAGACATCATGTTTAACTTGTTTCCTCCACCAAGGACAGCTGCAGTTAACAATGTTTGCCTATGGGTTGGGCAATTTTTTTTTTTTTTTTTTTTTTGAGATGGACTCTCGCTCTGTCGCCCAGGCTGGAGTGCAGTGGTGCAATCGCGGCTCACTGCAACCTCCCTCTCCCAGGTTCAAGCGATTCTTCTGCCTCAGCCTCCTGAGCAGCTGGGACCACAGGTGCATGCCCCCATGCCCGGCTAATTTTTGTGTTTTTAGTAGAGACGGGGTTTCACCATATTGACCAAGCTGGTCTCGAACTCCTGACCTTGTGATCTGCCCATCTTGGCCTCCCAACGTGATTACAGGCGTGAGCCACCGCACGCGGCTGGGTTGGGCAATTTCTAACCAGACTCTCTGAATATCATCATCGACGGTGGGAGCCAGCAGAGGGCTGGACCACTCTTTTGAATCCCCTTATAACCCAGGGATGAGCACATCTATAGCGCTCTGAAAAGGCAGTTCTGGAGATTTCCTGCCCAGGCAGAGCAGTGGCTCAGCTGGGTGAGCAGTCACCGAGAGTATAGGATGCCAATCCCTGGATTAACGAGGTGAATGCCAAAGACCCTCCGAGGCAATGTATTTTTGGAAGAAATACACACTGCAGCAGAAAAGAGAACATGGTATAAATTTTCCTTCTTCCAAACAGTGCAGAATAGAAACCTATAAAAGCAAATTCTGGATGTCTGAAGATATGGACTTTTTAAAAAATCTTGTTTGAGAGATTCCACCTTACTGACTTGCACCATATCCCTGGAAATGCTTCCTTAAGTGGCTACTGGAGATGGATGTCATGTAGCAGGGTTTACAGATCCCCTGCAATCCGAGGTCCTTGAAAAGCACAAGGCAGTCTCTTCCTCAACTCCCAGGGCAGAATTTTATAGTGGAAAGAGATGTTGACAGCCACTTTCTCAGCACCACTCTCTCATCCTACAGTGTAGGAAACTGAGACCCAGAGGAGAAAGGGGTCTTGCCAGAGATCTTAAAGTGTGGTGGGGCAGAGCTAAGGCTTGAAAACAGGTCTTGGACCCAGCACTGTGGCCCCGGACCCATGCTTGTCAAAGAATAGGACAGAGGCATAGCACTGTAGGCAGAAGGCTGAAGCAGAATCGGGCTGCTGGGGTTCCCAGCCTTCGGCCCCCACCTCCCCCAATAGAAACCGCAAGCTGCCTGGCTGGGCAGCTACAAAAGGGGGAATGCTGTTTGCACAGGATCTGCAGAGACCTCGCAGCACGGATGGGTAGACATCACCATGCACATATGAACAGCAGAAAGCCCTCCAGGTTCAGCTTCCCTACGAGGGCCGAATCCTATAAACAAGATTACCACCCCCATTAGACCTTCTCTGAGAAGAAAGAGTGACCTCTCCAGTTGATCTGGCATCAAGCTTTTTTCATGCTTCCACAAGGGTAGCGGTCTTGACAACAAAGCAGACCGCTTCCACGTCTGTGCCCACAGTGCCCCCTTGTGGGAGTCTGCATAGTGCATCACACGTCTTTATTTCACCAAGTGAAAAGGCAGGGATGGGGCAGTCTACAGCACTGTCCTACCGGGTCTCCACAGCTGTCCCCCTCTGGAATATCCTCCCCTTCCCTAAGCTCAGTGGTTCTCAAACTTTAGCATGCATCTGAATCACCTGGAGAGCTTATCAAAACACAGGTTCTGGCTGGACGCGGTGGCTCACACCTATAATCCCAGCACTTTTGGAGGCCGAGGCCAGCGGATCACCTGACGTCAGGAGTTCAAGACCAGCCAGACCAACATGGTGAAATCCCATCTCTACTAAAAAGTACAAAAAAAAAAAAAATTAGCCAGGCGTGGTGGCAGGCACCAGTAGTCCCAGCTACTCAGGAAGCTGAGGTGGAGAATCGCACCCAGGAGGCGGAGGTTGCAGTGAAGCAAGATCACGCCACTGCACTCCAGCCTGGGCAACTCAAAAAAAAAAACAGGTTACCTGGCCCCACCCACAGCTTCTGATTCAGTAATTCTAGGGTGGAGCCCAAGAAATTGAATTTCTAGCAAGTTCCCTGGTGACACTGCTGCTGCTGTCCAGGACCACACCTGGAGAATCGCTGCCTCAGCTAATCACCTCCACCCATTTAAGGCTCAGGACCATTTCTAGCTCCTTGGCAAGATGTTCCACAAATGCCCCCAGGCTTATCATAGGATGCCATAGTTGTGTAACTTTAACCAAGTTCCTTAACCTCTTTGAGCCTCAATTTCCTCATCTATAAAATGGGGGTAATAGTACTTCCCTCCGAGTGCAGGTAAATGAGGCCAGGTGCAGTGGATCATGCCTGTAATCCCAGCACTTTGGGAGGCTGAGGCAGGTGGGTCACCTGAGGTCTGGAGTTCAAGACCAGCCTGGCCAACATGGAGAAACCCTGTCTCTACTATACAAAAATTAGCCAGGTGTGGTGGTACACACCTGTAATCCCAGCTACTATGGAGGCTGAGGCAGGAGAATCACTTGAACCCAGAAGGTGGAGGTTGCAGTGAGCTGAGATTGCGCCACTGGTGCAATCCAGAGCTCCAGCCTGGGTGACAGAGCGAGACTCATTCTCAAAAAAAAAAAAAAAAAAAGGTAAATGAGATAATTTGTGCAAGACTTAGCTCAGTACCTGGCACATGGTAAACAATAAATGTTAGCTATTCTGTGGTCATTAATTAGCAATAGTATTACTGTTCATCTGCCAGCTTCTTGAGGGCAGAGACAGTATTCCCATTAGAGACAGAATTCTCAGAGGCAGAACGGATCTTAGAGAAACTTCAGTCCAGCTTCCCAAGCCTGAGCTCACCTGGGAAGCTTCAGTCCAGTTTCCTGAAGCAGCCTCACCTGGGAAGCTATTAAAACATCAGGTGCTTGGGCGCTACCCAGATCTACTAACTCTGAAAACTGGGGCAAGAGGCTGGGCATTTGTTGTTTTTGAGACAGAGCCTCGCTCTGTCACCCAGGCTGGAGTGCAGTGGCATGGTCTCGGCTCACTGCAACCTCCGCCTCCTGGGTTCAAGCAATTCTCGTGCCTCCACCTCCTGAGTAATTGAGATTACAGGCACGCACCACCACGCCCAGCTAATTTTTGTATTTTTAGTAGAGATGTTTCACCATGTTGGCCAGGCTGGTCTCGAACTCCTGACGTCAAGTGATCCACCCGCCTCAGCCTCCCAAAGTGCCGGGATTACAGGTATAAGCCACCACACCCAGCCAGCATTTGTATTTTTAACAAGCCCCCAGCCTGGCCAACATGGTGAAACCCCATCTCTACTAAAAATACAAAAAATTACCCAAGCATGGTGGCAGGCGCCTGTAGTTCCAGCTACTCAGAAGACTGAGGCAGGAGAATCGCTTGAACTCAGGAGGCAGAGGTTGCAGTGAGCCAAAACAGTGCCACTGCACCCCAGCCTGGGTGACAAAGCAACACTCCATCTCACAAAAAGAAAAAAAGAAAGCCCCCACCTGCCAGGTTTCGGAATTACTCATCTAGCCCGGATAGCAGACAGACACAGGGAGGGAAATAGAAGCCCAGAAAAGGGAAGTCTTTTGCCCATCCATGGCCCCAGCTGATTGTAAGCTGAGTGGAGATCAGGAACTGTGACTCCTGATTCCTGATCTGGTCCCTTTTTCCGAGTTATTAATACTTGGGGCCAGGCGCGGTGCCTCACGACGGTAATCCCAGCACTTTGGGAGGCGGGGTGGGCAGATCACCTGAGGTCAGGAGTTCAAGACCAGCCTGACCAACATGGAAAAACTCCGTCTCTACTACAAAATACAAAATTAGCCAGGTATGGTGGCACATGCCTGTAATCCCAGCTACTCGGGAAGCTGAGGCAGAGAATTGCTTGAACCCAGGAGGCGGAGGTTGCAGTGAGCTGAGGTCGTGCCATTGCACTCCAGCCGGGGCAACAAGAGTGAAACTCCATCTCAAAAAAATACGATAAATACTTGGATGCCATCTCATCGACCCATAACCTTCTACATAAATTCCCTCTCCAATATGCATGATGAGCAGCCAGAGCGTTGCCAAAGTATTTCCTGTGTGGAGGAACTCGGCATGTGAAAAGAACACACAATCCACTGCAGAACATCTAATTCTCCAACGTTTTATTTTCTTTAACCAAAACACTGAACAAGTGAAATCCTTAGCTTGGCATACAAGATCCTCCCTGATTTATTCTCCGCTGACCTCTCCAGCTTCGTTTCTTACCAGGACCTCACCTGTACCCTCTCATCCAGACTGTGGGCACTGGGAGGCAGGTCTCATTTCTGCCTCCCCTCAACATCTGGCATGCGGGAAGTTCAAGGGTGAGTGGATGGGGAAGGACAGTTGGATTAATGTATGGAGGTGTGTTCACAAAGCTCTAAAACCCAGGAGAGCCTCTCTGCCAGCACAAATGAGTCAGGTGTCATACTTCTGTGCTCTAGCAGCCAACCTGAAGACTATTTTTGAAATGGAGTATCTCCCACCAGAAATGCATTGTGCAAAACTCTGCTCAAAGGCATCAGTCATGTAGGGCCTTCCATCTTGTTGATTCAAGAGAATGCCTACCTACCCACTCTGCTCCCACCTCCCCAGTGTCATCCTCTCTTCCCCTTGCAGAATGACTGGTCTCACCTTGTCCCACACTGCCTGCTCCCATCTCCCTGCTTTCTTTCCTATTTTTCATGGCCTCAAATGAGAACTTTCTCCTGTGCATCCAAATCAGATCATGTCTCTTGCCACTGCTGGTGTTACAGTAATCCTCCCTTATCCATGGGGCAAACGTTCTTAGACCCCCAGTGGATGCCTGAAACCGCAAACCCTATCTACACCAAGTTTGTTGCTATATATACATAATTAAAGTTCATAATTTAGGGAGTAAGATATTAATAATTATACTGTAGTAGGCTGCATGAACTCTTTTCCTCTGAATACGTACATGTATTCACATTCTTGATGGGAGATAAAATGCCTATGTGGAAGGGAGAGGGAGGTAAATGACGTAGGCATGGTGACGTGTTAGGCTACTATTGACCTTCTGATGACACTTCAAGAGGATCATCACTTTTGGGTGATCCCAGACCATTTAGCCATGATAATTTTCCAGACTGCAGTTGACCGACAGCAACTGAAACTAGATAGGTGGGGACTGCTGTATGTCTCCTGGAAGCCTTCCAAGACCCAGCCTCCCTGCACTGATCTTCTTGGCTCTCAATTTCTATCACGTCACAGTCATACACTATCTGCTACTTCACAGAAAGGAACAGAAGCCAGATCATGGGATCGTCATTAACTACCTCAGAGCTTTCAAGACAGAACAGCTTCTTTATCCCCAACTTGCAGAACAGGGACACAGCAGGTGGTCAGTAAATTGGGAATTTGGCTAGCCATCTAACACTTGTTCAATAAACCCATGGCAACTGGCACCCTGCTGGCAGTCATGAGTTTTATATACCATTATATGCACAGTGCAAAGTAGCTTAATACTGGAGTGCCTGAAAAAATGCAGTGTTTTGGAGTCAGATGACTGCATTCCAATCCCATCCCCACCACTTCATGGGTGAGACACTGGTAAGATGCTTAACTGCTCTACACCCTTTCCAGCGTGGGTCCAGGAAGACATGCTTCTTGGAGTTAACATGCAGATTAGGCCGGGCACGGTGGCTCACACCTGTAATCCCAGCACTTTGGGAGGCCAAGGCAGGCGGATCACAAGGTCAGGAGATCGAGACCATCCTGGCTAACATGGTGAAACCCCATCTCTACTAAAAATACAAAAAATTACCCGGGCATGGTGGCGGGCACCTGTAGTCCCAGCTACTTGGGAGGCTGAGGCAGGAGAATGGCGTGAACCCGTGAGGCAGAGCTTGCAGTGAGCCAAGATTCTGCCACTGCACTCCAGCCTGGGTGACAGTGAGACTCCATCTCAAAAAAAATATGTGTGTATGTGTGTGCGCGCGCAGATTAATGGAGATCGTTGTTCAGAGTTTAGGACAGCACCTGTTTCGGCTCCATGAGAGCACCATGTAAGATGCTGTCTTTAAGGGCAGCCTAAAATAAGCAACTTGCCAGGGAAGAAAGGAAGAGTGCAGAGTTGAAAGCTGCCTGATTACATAGGCACATCCAGCTACAAACAGAACTCATGGTTGTGGTGCTAGGAAAAGCTAAAAAGCAGCACCCCAAATATTCACTGCAGGTACCTTCCCAGAACCACCTCTAGCTGAGTTTCTCATCACTCTTCAAAGATCCCTGCTCTCTCTAAGCCACAGCTTCCCATCAGTGACAAGCTGAAGGAAGGGATGTGCTCCCTCAATATTGATTCAGCTTAGTAAAGTCAAGTTTGCATTTTATGGAGGCTCTTCCAAAGCCTGCTGACAGCACAGGGTAGCCTGGTTACTGTGAGGGCCTACAATGTGCTGAATCTGTCCACAGTTTGAGTTCCCACAAGTCCCTGCTTCCTGACAAACAATTGCTTAGCACTAGTTTCCAAACTGTTTTCACAGTTGTTACATCCTCAGCCTCAAAATAGCCTTGTGAGCCAGGGTAGCTAGCAGATACCCTTGGGAGCCCAATTTAAAAGACAAATTAACCCTAACAAGGTACCAGGTGACTTCCCCAAAAAACACTTGGATGGACTAGATGGAAGAGAAGCAGGCAGCAGGGACAGAAGACCAGAGGGCAGGTAGAGGAGGGTGTTAGCTGGCCGTAGGAGCAAAGGCTGTGGAGACCAGAGAATACCTGTCCCAACAGATGCAGCCAGCCTGGAGCCCTGCCAATTGTTATCAAACAGGAAGGTGGGCTACTACTGCTGCTTCTGGTATTTCAAGAGGCTGGAAATCCAGACCTTTACGTAAAATTTGCCAAGTTTCCAAATGTTATGCCTAACAAGGCTCACAGCAAGACTGCCACATTTTCTATAATATCACAACCCAAGTGGATCCTCTGGAAAAATAGGCCAAGCCTGAGTTTCATCCCACCTCCCTTCCCAAGGCTACTGGCTGAAAGACTACAACTTCTGCCCTGAGCACAGCTGAACAGAAAAGCCTCCCCACTTCGTGACTTTGATGCCAACCTTCAATCATTCAGGCTCTCTGCAGCTATGCCCTTTTTCTTCACATCAGAAACTATTTCCTACCCTTCAGTTCTCAATTGCTTCCTTCCACTCTCCCTGCATCAACTTAGCAACCACCCCCAGCTCCACGTCCTGTCCCATCCCATCCCATCCCATCCCTGCAGCACTGTCAGGATCCTCACCACCTTGCCTCTGCAAGCTGCTCACAGGGTGCCTTCTCTGCTTCCACACTCCAGCTCAGTCACAGGAAACTGCATCTCAAACCCCAACCTTTGCTGCCCCTAGCATTACCTTCAGCCTGGTATGCACTGTTCATCAAAAAATGTCAAATCACATCAAAGACCCCATTCTTCCACACGTTCTGTACTAGTAAGCCATTTCCTGGTCCTAGCAAAGTAGTAGCAGATTCCTTAGCAAGAGAACCTACAGGGCCAGAGGCCCCACAAACCGAAGTACACAGCCTCTGTAGATATGAAAACAGAACTCCAACCACCCCCTGGCCAGCAGGCCCAGCCCCATGACTTAACTCTTCTCAGCCCTGCCCTCCTGTCTGTAGGTGCTCCATGCAGGGGCTGTGACCATCTTTTCTCCAAAACATTCCACTACCCTTCCTTCCTGCAACCTCAACCCTTCTGCCTTCACGGTATTGCTTTTCCTGAGTCCCCTTCATGCCCAACCAAGTCTTTCAGCTCTCTACTGCTTCCTGAGATTTCTCCAGTTTATCCAGACATGGTACTTTTTAGACTCTAAGCCAGACGTGGTCGCTCATGCCAGTACTTTATGTGGCCAAGGTAGGAGGATCGCTTGAGCCCGAGTTCAATCAAGACCAGCCTAGGTAACAAAGCTAGACCCTGTCTCGAAAAAAAAAACACCTCACTGTAGCCTCGAGCTCCTGGGCTTAAGTGTAATCATCCCACCCAAACCTCCCAAAAGTGCTGATGACTGTGAGCCACTACACTGCGTCCACCGCGGACATGGTTCTTAACACAGCATTTACAAGCTTGACTCCCAGATGAACCCACCTAAGCTATAAACCAAGCAGCAAACAAACACCACCCCATGACATTAAGTTTTCACTGAATGCTTCATGGAGCATGTGAACTTGGACAGCAACTGAAATCAGCAGACTAACCTCCTAGCAGTCCCAGGAAACTGCAAATACATTTCAAACAACCAGACACATGAAGTTTTTAGTTTATTAATGTTCTTGCGAAAAATCCACAGTGGCCACAGCTAACATCATTGCAGCACCTTTACTCCTTCGGCTGTGAATCAAGAGAAAGAAGTTTAGTCAACAACTGCCTTTAAAATTCTTTAAAGTCTTCAATTCCAAAAGTAGTAACACTCATGCACAACAATTATTAGTAACCTAGAATATCAAGTTATTTTGATGTTATCATAACACAATGAAAGCATCAAGAAATAAAATTTACAAACATTCAAGTTAAGAATAAAACAAAAATAATGGGCTAAATATTGCTAAACCTTAAAAACAAAACCATGTCACTGTTAGTATTTTAAAAGGTTACAACTCTTCAGAATATTTGTAAATCTACTTCTAGATGTACTACACATGATCTGCTTTTAAATTGCTACGTCAGTACACCAAGGAGTCTAGTGATCTACATGACTACATGAAAAGCTTGAATTATACCTGTGATCCAATCTCCAGCTCACTGAATCAGTGGCGGGGAAGGGAAAAAGAGAAAGGAGGGAAAAGAAAGATTTCATTAATAGTCCCTTTTCAAACTCCAAAATAATCTGCATTTAAGTGCATGCAATCAGGTACCTTAAAGATGACCATTTTGTTCTTTGCAATTGTATACAGAGCACTCCTTCCAGACTCACTGATTTTATTCCTCCCAATTCTGACAATGCCTTGCCTGATTACTGTAGTTCTTATGCAAACGAGGTAGCCGGACTTCACAATGAAGAGATCATTAAGCCAATGTGGTACCCAGGATGGCCTTGCCCACTTGTCAATGAAGTACATACCTGAGCCTCTGCCCCTCTGCTCTGCCCAGCAACATTGTGCTGGACACACACCAGGAACAGTTACGAGAATCATTACAGATTCAAGTCTAATTTAACCTCAATGGGAGTGCTCTAAATGATCAGGCAAGTCTTTTAAAAGCTGCCTCAGTTCAATAAAAGATACCATTCACAGCCACAAAAGTAGTACAAGTTAGTATTTAAAAAGAGGCATTAATTTAGCTGAACTAAAAATACAATTGCTCCTCAGATATGAGACTACTAATGCCTTAGTATAAGTAACTTAGTATATAACTCCATCGCAACCAAAAAGCAAGAACAAATACCAATTCTAACATCTAAACAAAACTGAATTAAAAGCAATATTGCTATGGCATTTCTTTGGAGCCAAAGAATTTATGTACTCAAATGCATTGATTTTTCCAGCTGGCTTTTCAGAGCAGTGCTAGTGAGAGGCACCAGTGTAACTTGAAGCAGGAATAGTGATGGCTCAGGTCCCCACAGGTAGCTCCTCCATACCTGTGGGACTCAAAGGCTAAGGGCACTAACTCATAGGGCTCAAAGGCTGGATGAAGAGAACAATCAATGTGTTAAATGTCCTTCAGACCTAGGTCAGAGGACAAATTTTGACTAATTCTTTTGACTAATTCTTTTTGCAACTTCTCTCAACAGGTACAATCCTCACAAACAGGGAGTAGTTCTTAGTGAGTAGTTCTGCTGGCAGTTCATTCATTACATACTCCATGGCGCTGGGACATCAATGTGATTACAGTCCTGGGCAGGCAATCCCAGGTTTACTGCCTTGCCTGGCAGGGAATCACTGCAAAAGGATGCCACAAGAACAAGGGCCTTCATTGATTCAAAATCCCACTACGCCCACCCCACTCCTACCCCACTTATCACATTACAATTTTAGGCTGTTCAGATGTGCAAAATTTGTTTTAAATGAGGTAACAGGCTGGGCACAGTGGCTCACACCTGTAATCCCAGCACTTTGGAAGGCTTAGACAAGCAGACTGCTCAAGTCCGGGAGTTCAAGAGCAGCCTGAGCAACACGGCTAAATCCTGTCTCTACAAAAAATTGGCAGGGCACGGTGGCACATGCCTGTAGTCGCAGCTACAAGGGAGGCTGAGGTGGGAGAATCACCCAAGCCCGGGAGGTACAGTAACCCATGATCATGCCACTGTACTCCAGCCTGGGTGACAAGAGACCCTGTCTCAAAAAATAAACAAATGAGGTAATGGGCCATTCTAACCAAGTGCTTGTGGGAAAAAGCATATCCACCAAAGACTTTTATATGAATACATAATTACCTCAAAAATTTTCTATTTTAAAAAAAAAAAAAAAGACACCAGGCACAAAGTTGGGAGATTAAGTAATAAAAAGCAATGGAAATGGTAAAAGGCAGTTTTGCGTATATCCAAACAGGACAGAGGCTTTGCCAGATTTCACAGACTAGTTTATTACCAGTGCTGCCAGGCTGGTTTCATGGCTCCAGAGAAGACTGCTCCTTGGATAAGAGAGCCCTTCCCAAGCCCAGTGTTAACTGAAGCCATTTCCTAAGTATGTGGACACAGCATTTCCCAAGTGCCTACTTGGTAAAGTACTCACCTTCCTCCAGTGAGTCACTTCACATGTAACATGCATTTTGGAGTTTACAAAATAAACATGATTTTAAACGTTTTCTCCTTTGCTCATAATATACTATCTTAAAACATATTAGGTTGGTGCAAAAGTAATTGTGGTTTTTGCCACTGCAATTACTTTTGCACCAGCCTAAATAGCACTGGCATTATAATCGACCATACTATAAAACTGTCGTCCAAAGGCCAACATGCAAAGCATCATCAAAGCAAACTCAGTGAAGGTGATGCATCCCCACACCGTGCTTACAATCTCAGTACCTGCTAGACACTTCATTTCTGATGAACAAGAAATCCAAGAAAGTAGAGAGGAAAAGCAAAAAAAAAAAAAAAAAAAAAAAGTTCACAGAACACTTGATTATTTGTTAATTTAACAACCCAACACCTTAATTCTATTCAATGATTTACAATGTCCAACTATTTACAGCTAGCAAAGCTGGTAAAAAGCTGCTTATCGCTAAAATCACTTGTCTTGGCCAACTGGAGAGGAAAGCAATCCTGAGATCTCAGTTGCCTTTCCAGTGTGCCAGGAAAACACGGGCCACATTGATCCAACTGCTTCTTAAACCAGTGTCCATATTAATAAGTAAAATCACAGGGAATGGGATCCGCTCTGCATTGAAGGTTCTATGCCAATTAGTAAAATTAAAACTTCTTGTGATAGGCTTGAAAGGTGCCCACCAGCTGGGATCAATGAACCAATGTGGCCTCCAGATTGTGCTGTGAGCTGACAAGGGGTGGGCCAAGCTACTTTACTGAGGTGTTAAGACACTATGCTACATAGTTTCTTAAAACATGTTACCTTCTGTAATCCAGAAGAAGAGGGAAAAGAAGAAACATTAAGAAAAGTTATTTTAAAAATTAATAAGATCCCTTCTTTCCTAGAAACTAAAGACCTACAATTAATGACGTTTCTATATTTTCCTTAATGAACTATACCTTTTTGCCAGCACCAACATTGGCCTTTGCAGTCCCCCTGACTTTCTTCATTCTGTTCTTGCGTTCCTTTCGTTGCTTTCTTGAGGTCTTTTTCTTCTCATACAGGCCATGCTGAATGAGAAAAGAGTACATCCAGGTGACTTGTAAACATTAAAATCATTACCCACCACTCTGGTAGGGAAACTGACCCAGTCTGAGCTTAAGAAACACAGCTTTCTAAACCAAAACTTTTCAAGTACATTTAATGCATGTTTTTGCTGGAACAGAAAGGATCATCAAGGGATTTTAGGTATGGAATAGCCTCACAGGAAACAAATGGTCCACTCAACATTCTCTCAACAGGGAGTTTGGGAGACTGGCTGTTCTTGTCCAGACTTGAGCTCACAGATCACTATTTTTTCTTCTTTTGCACTACCAAAACAAGGCACCTCCGAAGTGGCTGAGGGGATCTCTTCCCATTTCAACTCCCCATTACTCCCTTATGACAGACAAGCATTTACAACCCCCACATCATGGAGATTCCGGATCTACTCATCTCCACTCTGCCCACCTTTGCACTTGCTGTTCCTGGGGCCTACAAGACTGTTTCTGTATCTTTACAAAGACTACTTCCAAATCTTTACAAGGATCTCAGCTTCAATGTCACCACCTCAGCAAGGCCTTTAACATGACCGAACGTCAGTTAAAAATAGTGCAGCCTCAGCTGGGCACGGTGGCTCACACCTGTAATCCCAACATTTTGGGAGGCCGAGGTGGGCGGATTACGAGGTCAGGAGTTCAAGACCAGGCTGACCAACATGGTGAAACCCAGTCTCTACTAAAAATACAAAAATTACCCAGGCATGATGGTGCGCACCTGTAATCCCAGCTACTCAGGAAGCTCAGGCAGAAGAGTTGCGTGAACCTGGCAGGCGGAGGTTGCAGTGAGCCAAGGAGATTGTACCACTGCACTCCAGCCTGGGCGACAGAGCTAAACTCTCTCTCTAAAAAAAAAAGTGCAGCCTCTACCTATGACATCACCAGGATTTTCCCTCACAGCTATCGTATGGGAAGGTTTATCTAACAGGATAGGATAAAGTGAGTTAAAGGAACAAACAAAACAAGCACTTCGAGGTGATGATGCTTACTTGTTTACTAGAATGTAAGCTGGGGAGCTTGCCCAGATCACTGCTGTAGTTCACTCTGCAGTGTTTGACACTCAGTATACAATCAAAAACTTTTCCTGGTTCCTGACTACCTATGGGTTTAAGCCCAGATGCAGACTTAATCCAAACTAAGTGAATTTGGTGCCAGGCTACCTTTCCAAACACATCCCCTTACTTCTCCTCTGGAAAACAATCCTTACCCCTAGCCCATCTCCAAGAACACTACTTCAGCTGCCCTTCTGAACTCAGCTCAAATGTCAGACTTCAATTTTGAACCCCCGTACTCCACCTGTGCATTTTATGAAATAACTTTTTCTCTTAATCCTTTCAGAGTTGTATCCCAGATTGCTTGGTCTTGCCCTTTTTACCACACTCACAACACAACGCTATTGAAAAAATAGGTCTTCAGGAGCTGATCAACAAATGAAAAGACACCTACTCTTGCAAGTCTATGTTTGGGTTCATTTTTCTTTGCATAATCCAGGGAATCATAAATCATGCCAAAGCCAGTTGTCTTGCCACCACCAAAATGAGTTCTGAATCCAAATACAAAGATGACATCCGGTGTGGTCTTGTACATTTTGGCTAGTTTTTCCCGAATTTCTGTCTTAGGCACTGTCGCCTTCCCGGGGTGAAGGACATCAATGACCTAAAAGGAGATATCAAGTTTAGCATTCAGTATGATAAAATACATCTTTAGAGTAAAGGACAATTAAGCAAAGATTGATGTGCCCTTCCTTACCATTTGTTTCCTCTGAAGTAGTCGGTTGGTCATGAACTTTCTAGTGCGGATAGTTACGGTGTCGTTCTGAAAACATAAACACTCTGGTTAATAAAACTACTCCAACTTTTCTTGGCCTTGCTGTGATTTTCCAAGACCTAGAATGTTGCAGTCCAATTTGTAGCCATTAGTCATGTAGCGAACTAAAGTAAATAAAACCCACTGGGCAAGGCCAAACTCACAGGATACACCTAAGGAATACATAAAATACCAGGAAAACACAATGGTTTTACACATGAATCTGTACAACTTACTTCACTAGGTTATGTGTATCTCTGGGGCAGGGTTTCTCAACCTCAGCACTACTGATATTTCCATATGGATAATTCCATATGGATATGTTGTGGGGACTGTATGTTTTAGAATAACTATAAAAATCCCAGCCCTCTAACCACTAGATGCCGGAAGCACTTCCCACCTTTCCCAGTTGTGACAATCAAAAATGTCTCCAGACTTAGCCAACTGTTCCCTTAGGAGAAAAATCACTCCGGGTTGAGAATCACTTCTCTGGGGTAAAAACTGCTGTGGCTCATATAAAGGTCACTCAATGAACTGTGTTTATCATGTCTTGCACAAATGTGCCCCAAACCTTGTACTCACTACCTACATGTAATCTATCCTTCTAGAATGGCCATAGCAGAGATCAGAGAAAACGATATTCCCTTCTGAAGGACTGAACTGCACCTTTACTTAATACCTAACAAAAAATGTGGGCATTAAGCAATTTATGCTAACAATTTTACCAAAAAGGAGGCGCAAGAGACTTTCATGGCAGCAAATAACTTCCTAGACTTTCTCCATTTTACTTTGAGAAACCACACCAAATTAAATCCACGTCAGTGGTACTCAATTCTTGAAAGTAACGGATCAAAGGTAAGGAGAAAAAAAAAAGATTGCTGGTAAAGTTAAAAACGGATGCTGGAGGAGCTAATAACGCATGACTTAGGGCAGGACTACCTTTTTATAACATCTCTTTCCAGGGCCTGTTTCCCCACTATGAAACATGAAGATCCATCCAGCTGACAAGTTTTCTAGCTTACACGTGGGAATGGTTTCACTTGCCGCAACTCGCCCAGGCGCTGCCCGCACCTTCTTCACCTCTTGTACTGCCATCACCTGCAAGCCGCCTACCTAGCCCAATGAGGAACTGCAGACGAGATGTGCCTCCCAGTGTCCATCTATCCCGCCCGCCCCCTACCCCCATCCACCGTGCTCCACGAAGTCAACAAGCGCAACAGCTCCTGCACTGCCCAGGCGCTGGAGCCCGAAGCCCAGCGTGTCCGGGTCTACAGCGCAGCCCGCCAGCCCGGACGCCCTGCCAACAGCCCCGAGCCCCTCGACAACCATCCTCTGACAGAAACGGCCAGAGAAGAGCAACCGGGCTTCGCGTGCCTATAGCTCAAGTACTGGGACCCAGGGACCACGGATGGCTCGGATACGCGGCAGATGACTGCACGGGCCCAGGGAGACTCACCATGATGGCGATCTATCTTCAGACAGCCAAGGAGGAAAAGAGAACCACGATTCGCCGGCCAATCATATCAACGCGCACGGAAGGACCCCGGGAAGAGCCGGCGTGGGGGCGTGGGCGCGCCACGAGGCTGACCGCGCCGATGCCTGATTTAGGCTGCCTACGGCCCCGCCTCACAGACTTTTGGCCACACCCCTGGAACTCTAGACTGACCAATCCAGAACCAGAACAACTCGAGCCGACTAGGTTTACGCAAGCAGGTGTTCAATTTCAGTTCAATTCATTATGTTGAATTGTACGTATTTGAATTCCGGTAAACCAAATTAGTTTAAATTGCCTTCTTCCGAGTTAGAGGTGGGTAAACTTGGAAAGCATTTTAGGATATCCTCTCTAACAGTCTCCTCGTTATATGGCTAGGGAAACTGCAGAAACCCTGACTCTAAAACCTTTGTTATTTCAAGTACTTAACATTGCCCATTCTAATTTATTATTCATGAGTATTATTTCTGTGACTTTTATGACGAATCTTTACTTTAAAAGATCTCTTTAATTTGTATTTTTCTGCAAATCTTGGTCATTATGCAAAATTAGATTTTGAAAAATATTTGGCCGGGCGCGATGGCCACGCCTGTAATCCCAGCACTTTGGGAGGGCAAGGCGGGCGGATCACCTGAGGTCAGGAGTTCGATACCAGCCTGGCCAACATGGCGAAACCACGTATCTACGAAAATAAATAAATAAATAAATACAAAATACAAAATTAGCGGGGCGTGGTGGCTCATGCCTGTAATCCCAGCTACTCGGGAGGCTGAGGCAGGAGAATCGCCAGAACCCGGGAAGCAAAGGTTGCAGTGGGCCGAGATCACACCATTGCACTCCAGCCTGGGCAACAGGAGCGAAAATCCGTCTCAGAAAAAAAAAAAAAAGAAAAGAAAAAAAAGGAAAAAAAAATTGGAAGCCAGGGGCAGTGGCTCACGCCTATAATCCCAACACTTTGGGAGGCCGAAGCAGGTAGATGACCTGAGGTCAGAAGTTCGATACCAGCCTGGGCAAAATGGCGAAACCCCGTCTCTACTACAAAAAAAAAAAAATTGGCCGGGCGTGGTGGTGCATGCCTCTAATCCCAGCTATCTGGGAGGCTGAGACAGGAGAATCGCTTGAACCCGGGAGGCGGAGGTTGCAGTGGGCCGAGATCGCACCATTGCACTCCGCCTGGGCAATAAGAGCGAAACTCCGTCTCAGAAAAAAAAAAAAAAAAAGGAAAAAAAAATTGATTGCTCCAGAAATATTTTCTTTAACGTGAAACAGACATGTAAAGAATGTAAATATATATGTTCCGGAGAAATAATAAGAAGAATTTCCCAAATGTTAGTGCAGACGAGGTGTCCAAGGTGCAGGCTTTGCGGGCAGCTTTCCTATTTTCTTTTTTTTTTTTTCCTGAGACAGAGTCTAGCTCTTGTCACCCAGGTTGGAGAGCAATGGCTTCATCGCGGCTCACTGCAACCTCGACCTCCCGGATTCAAGCGATTCTCCTGGCTCAGCTTCCAGAGTAACTAAAATTACAGGCCTGCGCCACAATGCCCAGCTAATTTTTGTATTTTTAGGAGAGACGGGGTTTCACCATGTTGGCCAGGCTGGTCTCCAACTCCTGACCGCAAGTGATCCGCCCCCGCCTCGGCCTCTCAAAGTGCTGGGATTATAGGCGTGAGCCACCGTCCCCGGCCGACTATTTTTCTTTTTTTTCGTTTTTTGTTTTTTTTTTTTTTTTTGAGACCGCATCTCGCTCTGTCACCCAGGCTGGAGTGCAGTGGCGGGATCTCGGGTCACTGCAACATCCGCCTCCCAAGTTCAAGCGATTCTTCTGCCTCAGCCTCCCGAGGTGACCAACTATCCTTATTCTTAAGAAAATAGTCAGCCGGCTGGGCACGGTGGCTCATGCCTGTAATCCCAGCACTCTGGAAGGCCGAGGCAGGCAGATCACGAGGTCAGGAGTTCAAGACCAGCCTAGCCAATATGGTGAAACCCCGTCTCTACTAAAAATACAAAAATTAGCCAGGCATGGTGGTGCGCACCTGTAGTCCCAGCTACTCGGGAGGCTGAGGCAGAAGAATATTTATTGAGTGATTGTAATGTGCCTGTTACATTCTAATTACTTTTACCTTCATTTTGCTATTTAACCTTCCCATTGACTCTAAGAAATAGGATACATATTACTCACCCATGTTATAAATGGGGAAACTAACACACAATAAGATTAAATAACTTTCCCAAGTTCACACTTTATATACGTGTATATATACACGTATGTGTATATATACACATATATCTATATCTATATCTATATATATATATATATATATTTTTTTTTTTTTTTTTTTTGAGGCAGAGTCTTGCTCTGTTGCCCAGGCTGGAGTGCAGTGGCACAATCTTGGCTCACTGCAACCTCCGCCTCCCGGATTTAAGCGATTCTCCTGCCTTAGCCTCCTGAGTTGCTGGAATTACAGGAATGCGCCACCACACCAGGCTAATTTTTGTATTTTTTAGTAGAGACGGAGTTTCACCATATTGGTCAGGCTGGTCTCAAATTCCTGACCTCATGATCTGCCCACCTCGGCCTCCCAAAGTGCTGAGATTACAGGCGTGAGCCACCGCGCCCGGCCTGCACAACTTTATTTTTTATTTTTTTTTATTTTTGAGATGGAGTTTCACTCTTGTCGCCCAGGCTGCAGTGCAATGGCATGGTCTCGGCTCACTGCAACCTCCACCTCCCAGCTTCAAGCGATTCTCCTGCCTCAGCCTCCCGAGTACCTGGGATTACAGGCGCACACCACCAACCCCAGCTAATTTTTGTATTTTTAGTAGAGATGGGGTTTCACCATGTTGACCAGGCTGGTCCCGAACTCCTGACCTCAGGTGATCCGCCCACCTTGGCCTCCCAAAGTGCTAGGATTACAGGCGTGAGCCACCACGCCTGGCTGCCTACACAACTTTAAATGGTGAAAGCTAGACTCCCATGATGGCACTGTGATTTCATAACTTTTGCTCTTAACCTCTAGATAAGTCACACACGATCCAACCCTTGTTGGTATAATATTGTAAACATCAGAGCCGGGTGTGGTGGCTCACACCTGTAATCCTATCACTTTGGGAGACTGAGGCGGGCGGATCACGAGGTCAGGGATTCGAGACCAGCCTGGCCAACATAGTAAAACCCCGTCTCTACTAAAAATACAAAAATTAGCTGGGCGTGGTGGCGGGCGCTTGTAGTCCCAGCTACTCGGGAGGCTGAGCCAGGAGAATCGCTTGAACCCGGGAGGCGGAGGTTGCGGTGAGCCGAGATTTCGCCACTGCACTCCAGTCTAGGCGACAGAGCGAGACTCCGTCTCAAAAAAAAAAAAAAAAAAAAAACAAAAAAAACCCATAATGTTGACTATATATATATATATATATATATATATATAGTCAACATTATTTCATGATTAAGTGATGGAGTACCGAAATGAGTTAGAAAAACCTGATATGCCTCGTTTGTCTGTGACATTGTGTTTTGCTAGTGAGGATCCATGGCGTCTGAAAATGAGATAGCGTCCCTTCTTAAAAATTGAAAGTTGTTAAACACTTTTGTTAAGTTCTGTTTTGAGTTTCTCACAAATAATGAGGACTTAGTTCTAATTCTAAGCGCTAAGCCCTGTGGTGATGTGATTTCCTTGCTAGGCTCATGCACTAATATATCACACTAGGATCACCTCCCACAAGTTCTCACAGACTGTAGACAACTTATTTCAAGACATGAATGATCTTTACTTTCCATTCTCCCTTTTCTTCTGTAGATTACCATGGCTGTTTTCACTCTAACAGATTTTCAACTGTTTTTGTAATCAATAATGTAAGTTTAATTCTTCCCCCCTCCCTCCAAATAACTTCATGAACTGGAGGCACATGTGCGCCCATATTTTCCGCTCTGTTTTCCTTTGTTGGTCCTCCACAGATAGTGCCCTCTGTTGGATGGGCCGGTTCATTTTAGCTTCCACCTTCCCTTAAAACAATTAGAAGCTCTTAATTTAGATGGTACTGATGTTAATGATGATGATTTTCCATTTTATGCAAGTTTTGGCCCTCTGCTTGTCTAAAAGCCTTGAGGCAAAGAGTTATATGCAGTTTCTCTGCGGGTGTCTGATTACGTGGAGAAATTGACCAGAAATGGGATTTTTAAAATACAGCACACGCCTCGGTGCGGCTTCCAGTAAGCGCCACCAGGTGACGGTGCGGGGAAAGGGAAAAAAAAAAAAAAAAAAGGCATGCCGGAAGTCTCTCTTGACAGACAGACGCGCGGGCGAGTAGCGGAAGAGGAAGCGGACACGTGGGACACTCTACGGTGGCCGAGAGGATGCCGCAGATGTGTTAGCGGCGAGTCCAGAAGCAGCCCCAGGAGGTGCTGGGGGCATCGTTTCTCTAATCTGGCCTCCCGAGTGCCAAGGAGGCGTCCCGGCAGCGGTCATCATGGTGAAGGAGCAGTTCCGGGAGACGGATGTGGCCAAGAAAATGTAAGACGGAGTAAGAGTGGCCAAAGGGCTGAGAAATAGGGCAAGGGGTCCGAGGTCAGCGGTCCCGGGTCTTGCAGGGTCAGAGATGGGGTGCAATGGGAAGGGGAGGGCCAGTAGTCCATAGGTGTGACCAGCGCCCAGAACTACCAGCGTTGGTCAAAGAGCATTGGTCAGGCTGAGGGGATTTCAGCACCTCGAGAGGTCCCTGGACTTGGGCGGAGAAGTCGGAGTGGCCTGAGCCTTAATGATTTGTGCACCCTGGGCCAAAGCTCGCATTCTCCTGAAGTCATACAATGATCCCTGTTCTTCAGCGAACTATCCCCTGCTGCAGCGAGGGGAGCAATCTGGGGCGGGGACTGTCTCTAATTCTGTCAGCCGCAGAGCGTCTGACACGGAGGCAGTAGTTGCTTACCAAAAGGATGGGGTTGCCCACTAGAAAGCTGTACCACAGGCCGACGGATGGCAGTGTCAGAAATAAAGCTGCTATCCGGACTTTTGCCTTCAGAAATACGTTATTAGGCGGTGGCTCCTTCTTAGAGTTCTCGGTAAGAAAGTGAATCCAGCCGGGCGCGGTGGCTTACTCCTGTAATCCCAGCACTTTAGGAGGCCGAAGCGGGTGAATCTCCTGAGCTCAGGAGTTTGAGACTAGCCTGGGCAACGTGGCGAAACCCCGTCTCTATCAAAAATACAAAAATTAGCAGGCGTGGTGGCGCGCCCTTGTGGTCCCAGCTACTCGGGAGGCTGAGGCCGAAAAATCACTTGAGCCTGGGAGGCAGAGGTTGCAGTGGGCAACCTCCTGCATTCCACCCTGAGTGACAGAGTGAGACGGTGTCTCAAAAAAAAAAGTGAATTCATCATTCTTACAGCAGACACTGAGGAGGATACTGCGCGTTATTCCCAGTGTTGGACGTTAAAGATACGGTCTGAATAAAACTTTTACTGCCTAATCTAGTTGGAGAAGGTACACAAGTCAACACTGGGTACGACAAGTGCAATGACAAGGGTAGGTCCAGGGGGTTTTGAGAGCACATAATGGGTCCAGGCAAAAGAAAGCAGACCAAACTGCTTTTTTCAAGGAGCAGACCTGAGGGAGAGAACACAGGTGATCAGAAGGAAGCAGAAGACTTGAAGCTGTGTTAAGAAGTCATCTTGTAGGCAGTGAGGAACCTTTGAAGGATTTTCAACAGGAGAGTATCTTGATAAGAGTTCTCCTTCTGGAAAATCTCTTGATTCATGGTGGAAAGAATTAGAGGTCGAGAGACCTTGAGACGGATATACAGAATGCCTTGCTTGGGCAGCTGTGTGGATGGTTGCCATTCACTAGAACAGGTGTCTTACCTAGGTGAATGCAGCATTCTCCCATGTGGTAGCTCTACATCGACACTGGCCCTTCACACCCACCTGTACACCTGCGCCCAGTCAGATATAATACATTCTCACAAAACAGAGAAAGTGCTTCTGTCAAAGTGCAAATTAAGGGTATTGTCAATTAAAATCCTCTAGCAGAGGCCAGGAGTGGTGGCTCACGTCTGTAATCCCAGCACTTTGGGAGGCCATGGCAGGCAGATCATGAGGTCAGAAGTTCAAGACCAGACTGGCCAATATGGTAAAACCTCATCTCTACTAAAAATACAAAAATTAGCTGGGTGCGGTGGCGCATGCCTGTATGCCTGTAACCCCAGCTACTTGGGAGTCTGAGGCAGGAGAATCGCTTGAACCCAGGAGGCAGAGGTTGCAGTGAGCTGAGATCGCACCACTGCACTCCAGCCTGGGTGACAGAGCAAGACTCTGTCTCAGGGAAAAAAAAAAATCCTCTAGCAGCTTTCCATTGTGTGGGCCATCACGCCTAGCAAATTTTTTGTATTTTTAGTAGAGACAGGGTTTCACCATGTTAGCCAGGATGGTCTCAATCTCCTTGCCTCGTGATCCACCCACCTTGGCCTCCCAAAGTGCTGGGATTACAGGCATGAGCCACCGCACCCGGCTGCATTTATGTTATTTAAATAAATTCCCTACCAAAGTTCCCAAGCCCTCATGCTTTAGCTCCTGCATGCTTCACTGACTTTATCTTGTACTATTAGCTTTCTATGCTCCAGTATATACTGATTTCATTTGGTTCCTTGAAAATGCCAAGCTTGTGCCAGTCCCAGGACCCTGGCCCTAGTCATTCTCTCCACTTCAGATGCTCTTCCTTCTGATTGTCAGTTTTACAGTGAGGCTTTCTGACCATGCAACGTAAAGTAATTCCTCAGACTCCACTGCTTACATCACTTCTGCATCTGTTCACATTTGTATATTCGTTTGTTTGTGGTCTGTCTTTCCCACCCTGACCTGTGAGCTCTTTGTTGGCAAGGACCTTGTCTGTCTTAGCTAATCTGTATCCTCAGCCTGTAGGATGGTGCCTGGCACATAGGAAATAGTCAATTTGTTGGAAGAATGAATGAAGGGACAGACATGGGAGAAAAAGTATTGAGGTCTGTTTTCAATGTGTGGGGTTTGAAGTGCCTATGAGATATCTAGGTGGAACTGTCCAGGAGGAGGTGTCTATACAGATGTCCAGTTGGGTAGCAGTAGCTGGCCTATAGAGATAGATTTGATAGACATCAACATGTATGTGAGTGGCATGATCACTCAGGAGAATGTGTAGGATGAGAAGATAAGAGGATGAAGGTTGTAATGCTAGGTGGTACAGTGCACCAATATTTAAGGGATAGCAGTAGAAGAAAAGACCTCAAAAGAGACTGTACAAGGAGCAGCCAGAGAAGGGAAGAAGAAAACTCAGAGTGTATGGTGTCACCAAAGCCGAGAGAAAAGCACTTCAGGATTGGGCAGGGTGCTGCCAGTGCTGCAGAGGTAAAATGAGGAAGTTCTTATTGGATTCAGCAGCAGGCAGGTTGTCTAGGTGGCCTTGGTGAGCACTGTTCCTTTGATGGTGAGAGTAGAAACTGGATTCCAGTAAGATGAAGGGATGTTTGTGAAGGAAAAATGAGAGAGGGTTAAATATATTTAATACTGGTAGGAAAAGCCAGTGGAGACAGTTGGAAGGATAGGTTGGTTATGGTGGGCTATGTATGTAATAGACATTTTTGGTCACAGATTTTGCTGTAATTTTCACCTTTTTCTTCCCATTCCAGAAGCCACATCTGTTTTGGAATGAAGTCACCTGAGGAGATGCGCCAGCAGGCGCACATCCAAGTTGTGAGTAAGAACCTGTACAGCCAGGACAACCAACATGCCCCCTTGCTATATGGGGTGCTCGACCATAGGATGGTAAGGCCCCCTCACCCCTCCTGGTAACTGTGTCTTGCCCTGCTGATAAAACTGGTGACTTACCAGATTGAAAGGAGCAGGGGCTTCCTTCCATCTCCTCAATTCCCCCCTGCACATATTAGACTAGGTCAAGAACTCCGGCCTTTAGTCAGCAACCTGATTCGATTCTGAGTCATGAAAATTAGAAAAGAAAGAAAAACAGTAGGAAGTGATCTCAGAAAGGAAATTTAAGAAGCAAAAGAAATGATTCTGTGTCACCAGCCAGGCATGATGGCTGGGCACTCTTTCCCGTCCAGCAGTCTGTGTTGATCATTGGGTGTGCTTTTTTTCAAAGGGTACGAGTGAGAAGGATCGTCCATGTGAAACCTGTGGGAAAAACTTGGCTGACTGTCTAGGCCACTATGGGTATATCGACCTGGAGTTGCCGTGTTTTCATGTAGGGTACTTCAGAGCAGTCATAGGCATCTTACAGGTAAGCACACAGGTGCTGATTTCCAAGACATAAATTCTGGAGTGATTGGTCAGGGATGCTGGAATGAACTTAGGAACTGTGAGTGGTGGGGGATACATCTAGGGGACTCTTTTATACTAAGTACATAATATTTTCATCTCACACTACGTTAAATCACTCAAGAATTATTTATTTTGTTTATTTACCTTGAGAAGATGGTAGATACGTGTTCTTAAAAAAATAACAATAGTAGTAATTCAAACAATACAGAATAGCACAAAGAAAAAGATAAAGGTAACAAAGTCTGCCTACTGGCTGTGAGTACTGCTAATCTAGTGAACACAGGCTTCCTCTCTGCATATCCATAGTATAGAGCCATTTGCAGATCTGTGTATATGGTCACGTGGTTAAGGGTACAAAACAGGGCGATGGCATTTTTAAAAGAAAATAATTTTTCATTCTCACTTATGCTTTTATCTGTCTTGCTTAATTTGAAAAAGATGATCTGCAAAACCTGCTGCCACATCATGCTGTCCCAAGAGGAGAAGAAGCAGTTTCTGGACTATCTAAAGAGGCCCGGCCTGACCTACCTTCAGAAGCGAGGACTGAAAAAGAAAATCTCTGACAAGTGCCGGAAGAAAAACATCTGCCATCACTGTGGCGCTTTTAATGGTGAGTGGAATGCACAGAAGGCTAAGCAATAGCCCTTTTCACTCACTGTCTTCTGTTTAGTTTATTAGGTTTACATAATGTTCGGGAGTCAGCTTTTCTCCTTATAAATTAGGCTTAAGAGCCCAACAACTGATGTCCTATTGGGAAACGGACCTCTCATCTTTCATTGCTATAGTAGTTTCAGTAATTTCATTAACCATACTACAATCTCTGGCCAATCTGAGAACATAATTTTTTATTTCTTGGTAAATAAACTAACCCTTATAGGTACCGTAAAGAAGTGTGGACTGCTGAAAATAATTCATGAGAAATACAAGACCAACAAAAAAGTGGTGGATCCCATTGTATCAAATTTCCTTCAGTCTTTTGAAACAGCCATTGAACATAATAAAGAAGTGGAGCCTCTGCTGGGAAGGGCACAGGTGAGCCTGAGAATGCACGCCTGCCTTCCGCCTGCCTCCCGCCTGCCTCTTCCGCACGTCACATGCACACTCTCTCCCCCAACTCCGCCCCACCCCTAGACACCCACTTTCTTCCAAAATGAGAGGTCCAGTTAGGTTCGACAGCTCTCCGATAATTCCTTTTTTTTTTTTTTTTTTTGAGATGGAAGACAGAGTCTCGCTCTTTCACCCTGGCTGGAGTGAGTGGTGCAAATCTTGGTTCACTGCAACCTGTGCATCCCAGGTTAAAACGATTCTTCTGCTTCAGCCTCCCAAGTAGCTGGGATTACAGGCATGTGCCACCATGCCCACCTAATTTTTATATTTTTAGTAGAGACAGGGTTTCCCCATATTGGCCAGGCCAGTCTTGAACTCCTGACCACAGGTGATCCAGTCGCCTCAGCCTCCCAAAGTGCTAAGATTACAGGTATGAGCCACCACACCCGGCCAGCTCTCCAGTAATTCTTATTTGACCGTAACAGTGTTTATCTGGCACTAAGGCTAATGTGGACTGGCCTTGTAACACCAGTTGTTTTTGTTTTTGCTTTTGTTTTTAATTGAGATGGGGTCTTGCTGTGTTGCCCAGTCTGGTCTCAAACTCCTGAGCCCAAGAGATCCTCTCACCTCAGCCTTCCAAAGTGCTGGGATTACAGGCATAGGTCACCATTCCTGGCCCCTTGTTTGTGTTTTTACCTCAGTTCTTTTTTTTTATTATTATTTTATATATTTGTTTATTTATTTATTTTAATTTTTGAGGCAGGGTCTCTCTCTGTCTCCCAGGCTGGAGTGCAGTGGTATGATCGAGGCTCATTGCAGCCCCGACCTCCTAGGCTCAAGTGATCCTTGCATGTCAGCCTCCCAAGTAGCTGGGACTACAGGCACACACCACCACCCCCAGCAACAATTTTTTAATTTGTTGTAGAGACAAGGTCTTGCTATGTTGCCCAGGCTTTGAACTCCTGGGTTCAAGCAATCCTCCTGCGTCAGCCTCCAAAGTACTGGGATTACAGGTGTCAGCCACTGCATCCTGGCTTACCTTAGTTCTTTTTTAACAGTAACACTTTTTTTTTTTAGAGACAGAGTTGCTCAGTCACCCAGGCTGGAGTGCGGTTGCACGATCTAGGCTCACTGCAACCTCCACCTCCCACGTTCAAGTGATTCTTTTGCCTCAGCCTCCCGAGTTGCTGGGACTACAAGTGCCCGCCACCATGCCCGGCTAATTTTTGTACTTTTGTAGAGACAGGGTTTTACTATGTTGACCAGGCTGGTCTTGAACTCCTGACCTCAGGTGACCCACCCGCCTCAGCCCCTCTAAGTGCTGGGATTATAGACATGAGCCACCATGCCCAGCCAGTAACACTTTTTTTTTTTTTAGATGGAATTTCACTCTTACTGCTTAGGCTGGAGTGCAATGGCATGATATCGGCTCACGGCAACCTCTGCCTCCCAGGTTCAAGTGATTCTCCTGCCTCAGCCTCCCAAGTATCTGGGATTACAGGCGTGTGCCACCATGCCCAGCTAATTTTTGTATTTTTAGTAGAGACGAGGTTTCGCCATGTTTGTCAGGCTGGTCTCGAACTCCTGACCTCAGGTAATCTACCTACCTCGGCCTTCCAAAGTGCTGAGATTACAGGCATGAGCCACTACGCCCAGCCTCCAGCTACCAATATTTTATGGACCTTTTTTATGTCAATTGCTGTGTTTGTCTAGTATCTTTTTTTCCCCCCAATGGCTTGCTGCTTTTCCACATAGGGATATACCGTGATTTTATTTAGCCAATAAACTGTCAGGCTCTTTCCAACTTTTCACTGTTAAGAACAGCTTTTATTACCTTCCTATTCTGTCACACGGATAAAAAATAACAAAAAACAGCTTTTGTGAACATTCTTGTAGCTAAATCTTTGTGTTCATTTCTGAAGTTACACCCCTTGGAATAATGAGAAGTGGAATTTTTGGCTTGAAAAATTGGAATAAAAGACATACACAATTTTAAGGCTCTTGCAGCATAGCGTATCATCCATAGAAATCTCTGTTGTCACTTATCCTTAGTGACAGATAGGTTAGAAAACATAGTGAAGGAAAACCTTGCCCAAGCTATGGAAAACTAACATAGTATCTCCATTTCTGCCTTTCTTCGTTTCCATAGGAAAACTTGAATCCCTTAGTAGTTCTGAATTTATTTAAACGAATCCCAGCTGAAGATGTTCCTCTACTTCTGATGAACCCAGAAGCCGGAAAGCCGTCTGATTTGATTCTCACACGACTTTTGGTGCCTCCTTTGTGTATCAGACCCTCCGTTGTGAGTGATTTGAAGTCTGGCACCAATGAAGATGATCTGACAATGAAACTGACAGAAATCATTTTCCTAAACGATGTTATTAAAAAGGTCAGTGCCTCCCATTTCCTTGTAAGTTTCATAGTATATCTATCCAAAAACTTCTGGTCAAGAAAATGTGAGAAAAATCAAACTGACCAGGTTTGTTTCTGTTTGGGCTGTGCTGGTTTTAGCATCGGATCTCAGGAGCCAAGACCCAGATGATCATGGAGGACTGGGATTTCCTGCAGCTGCAGTGTGCCCTCTACATTAACAGTGAGCTCTCGGGCATTCCCCTCAACATGGCACCCAAGAAGTGGACCAGAGGCTTCG